>NC_000004.12:116648653-116800168 GCF_000001405.40 Homo sapiens | reverse complement strand
GGAAAATGGTCCTCAGGCAGAGGTATGTCAGGGTGACAGGAAAGGTGGAGCTGCAAAGAAAAGTGGGTGCAAACAGGGGAGAATTAATGAGGCAAGCTGGAAAAAGGAAGATTGCTGTAAATATTCACAGTGATGAGGGGTTTATTCTGTCATACATATAAGACAATTTCAACCTCATCAATGTTGAAATATTTAAAAACTATTTTTCATATATCAAATAGCTGAAACTAAATAAATCTAATAGCATCCAAAATTCACATTTTATATAAGTCTTGATATACATTGATTTAGTGATACTCAGTGTAAAAATGAGGGTTTTTTGTTTGTTTCTTTGTTTTGAAACAAGGTCTAGCTGCACAGGCTGGAGTGCAGTAGTGGTGTAATCTCAGTTCACCGCAGCCCCAAATGGCTAGGCTCAGGAGATCTGATTCTCCCACAGCCTTCCAAATAGCTTGAGACTACAGGCATGCACCATTGTGTCTGGCTGTTTTTATTTTTATTGTTTTATTATTATTATTATTATTATTATTATTATTTTTCTTGGAGCGATGCAGTTTCGCCGTGTTGCCCAGGTTGCTCTCAAACTCCTGAGCTCAAGCGATCCACCCTCCTGTGCCTCCTGAAGTGTTGGGAATACAAGCATGAACGACTGTGCCCAGCCAAAATGAGCTGCTTACTACATCAAGAACTTCATGTTGTTTTAAAATGAGGAAGATACATATAATGAATGTACAAAAGATAGCTTTCATTCACTGGTGAATAAAAATTAATTCCTTTCAACAATCTCTAAGATTTTAAAGCATTATCCTAACCTGTATGAGACCATTCACCTTAAATACTAAGCAGTAAAATCAGTCAAAATAATGAACCCAGCAATCCCTGTGTGTGTGTATGTGTGTGGATGCGGGGTGGGGGTGTAGGTCTGTATTATTATTATTTTTTTAATAACTGATAGGAAAAGTCTTAAGAGAAGGCCAAATTGGCTTCTGGAGATTGAAAGAGTGGTCATGGTGCCATGGACTCTTCTATAAAAAATCTCAGCCACCTGGAGAGGCCACAGTCCTTGGTCTTCATCCAGGGAGGGATAAAGAGATGGTATCTGGTCTCTCAGTGAAGGAATTTGTGCTTTGTCCCTCAGGGGGTTCTCACTTTCAGAATCTAAGGAGAATCTCAATTTGGTTAATTTCTTCTTCAAAGTTAGTATAGAAATGGCCCCGGTCACGAATTCCCAGTTGGAAATGACTAAATTTCCTTTCTCTAACATCATTTCCTTGTTTTATTAAAGTATTTCCAAGAATAGTTATAAGAATAAGTATTCACAAGGCATTGTTAAAATCATTGATTATTTAAAACATCCTGAGGCATGCACATTAATATTTCACTACTCTTGCACTCTCCATACCAAAAGCCAATATGTTTTATAAATCTAATTGAAATATAAGTAACATTTATAATAGTCAACACTCATTCCATGCTTGCTATGTATACATTGTATGAATATATTCAATATTAATGTCAACTTCATGAAGTAGGTACTGTCATCACTTGCATTTCTTGGATGAAGAATGAACACACAAGGATTGTATGCATATTGTTCAAGGCCATGGGGCTGATAAGAAGCAATTTCTAATCCAGAGAATGTGACTCCAGAGTCGATGATGTTTGGACTCACCACACAGTATTGCCTGAAGCAACACAACACAAATGCCATAAAATAAACGAGTCATATTTGAAAAAAAAACATTTTTAAAGAATACTTAAAATTTTTATTAAAAAATTAAATCGAAGTTATAATAGAATTTGTAATCAAATTTTAGTTAATGTTTACACACGATGTAATAACACTTCAAAAAAGCAATTGAAATAACTTTTGCTTTTCTGTTAAATGAGTTACATACCCCTAATTAAAAGCATGTCTTTGATACAACAATACAATTAAAAACATGTAATGATACATTATATATTCTGTTGGCAAGTCAAAATCAATATTCTATGTAGAGTAACAAAAATTATACAAAATATTCTGCTAATGTAAATATAGCAAGATGCTGGGTCATAGTGTGTTTACAGTCTACTCGGTAAGAATCCTATCACCTTGGCATTTTCCTGCAAGCTGCCTGATTGTGTGCTACATGAGCACAATTAAAATGCAGAAACCCATGGTGGCAGACTTGTGTGCTCATTGATGGTTTATTTATTGATGCAATTACTTATTTTTTTCAGGGAATATTAGTTAGAGCCTTAAATGTTAAGGTAACTATGCTAAACAATCGGGATACAGCATAGATAATGGTATCTGGAGTCTCTGCTCTCACAGAGCTTAGTTCTAGGAGAGGTGAGAGCCAAGTAAACAATATTAGCACAATGCCACATGCAATTATTCATTGCATCAACAGAGAAGACTCTCTTGGAGCACTTAGGAAGGACACCTCATCTGTTGGAGTAGGAAGGACTTCCTGGAGGTAACTTCCACATTCTGACATAAGGAATGAGGAAAAACTCGCTAGGGAAAACAGAAGAGGTAGTAGAAAAAGTGAACAGCTAGTACAAAGGCCTAGAATTAGTAGAAACCTTAGTGACCTGGAAGAAATAAAATAATATTCTGTATATTTATTTAGTTTGTGATGGAGAATAATAAAAGATAATATTGGGGAAGTGAGGCAAGAGCAGACTTGAAGAACTGTTTAACCCAAGTTCAAATTTGATTTTTATCCTAAAGGCGGGTGATGAAAATAATTAATATATTTTTAGAAAGAGTCTAATATCTTCAGATTTGTATTTTATAAATATCACTATCGTTGCAAATTCTATAGTTTTTCAAGTGAAAGATTATTAGACATAAGCAGATACTATATAATATAGTCTATTTAATCATTCCACACATCTTTGTGAAGTTCTAGGTAGTCATATAAGTGAGAAAAACACATAGAAAACCTTGCTTTCTTTTAGCTTACATTCCAGTAACAGGAAAATAAATATAATAAAATGATACATTACATATTCTGTTGGAAAGCCACAAGCACTGTCAAAAAAAAACTAACGAGCAGCCAGAGCAAAGTCACAGGGAGTGAGCGTGCCTAGATTGTTCAAGGAACAACAAGCAGGAGCCTGGTGGTGGGGGAGCAAGTGGAGGAGAAAGATAAGACTTTGTAGCCCCCTGCAAAGACTTCACCTTTTGCTCTTGGTACAAAAGGACCTCATTGCAGAATTTTAAGCCCAGGAGTAACATAGTGTGTACTCTTTTAAACATTTACTTTAAAAGAATCACTGAGTACTATTTTGAGGGGGGAAAAAAACTGTAAGAAGGCAGGTGTAGCAGCAGAAAGCCTGGTTAAGAAGCTATTATACTGACCCCTGTCAGAGTAGATGCAGAGTGATAACAACAGAGGTAATTAACAATGATTAAATAACACATATATTTTCAAGTTAGAGACATCAGGAATTTCTGATGTATTGGACAATGGTATGACACACAATAGTCAAGGATGGCCCCCATTGCCTGGGCAACTGAAAAATTGCTGATACCAAATAAATTGTAATCCCAAATCAGTACGGTGGCATGTGGATAAGTTTTGGGGAAAAAACTTGGGGTTACTTTTGTATATGATAAATTTGGATGTCACTTCACATTGTAAGACATGTCAAGTAGTCAGTTTGATATGAGTATGTAGTTCTAGTGAGGCATCTTGGCAGAGATATAAATTTGGGAGTTTTGTCAGCACACGTATTAAAGCTATGGGACTGGATGAGATTAACTAAGGAAATAAAGGGAAAAAAAGACTGAGACAAAAGACACTTCAGCATTAAAAGATCAGAGATATCCAGGGTTCCTCTGTCAGTAGTCACCTTTAAAAGGCAGGGAGGAAATGGAAGGGCAGGTGTGGTCCAGAGGCTTTGCCTGCTGAGTGTGGTGCTCTGAGGTGTGTGAGGTGCAGTCTGTTGCATCACCAGCAACTCACCACCAGGAAGCTCCTCATTAGAGGATTTCTGTAAAAGTGCCCTATGGAGTTGCTGCAAAATCTCGGGAAGTACTAGGTTTCTGCATTATATGAAAAGTATCTGGAGATTGCAGGTATAAGATTTATAGGTTAGATCTTGCAAATAAAGAATACGAAAATCCAGTCAAATGTCTTAATGAATCCCTTTTCTCAGAGAATGTTAGCCGAGATAACTGAAAATAGCCAAAATGACTGAAATATTTTACATTTCCTGAAAGACTTTTGCAAATGGAAACAATTTCACCAAGTGCTGTATTCTTAACTAATGGGGATTTATTAAGTCTGACAAGCATCAGGAATTGCATTGCAAACAGAACGTCTCAGCATTTTAGCAGTGACTTGTTGAAATATTGAGAAATATTTACCTCAAATTTTTATGGGTAGAACATATCTCTGAATAATATCATGAAGACTAGTGAACTGAATAAATTTTATGTTTTATCTTCAAATATAAATATCAAGAAGAAATACATTTTTAAATAAAAGTATATAAATACCCATTAAATGATGTTCAGTGGCATACAGAAATAGCACGTTAGGAGTGGGTACAATGAAAACATTCTGAGAACATTATTTTATTGTTGAAGAAGCTTTGAAAAACTTGGTGAGAAAAAGCAAGGTATTCAAACTCTAATTTATGAAAAAATTCCAGTCTATACTGAAAAAAATTTGTTTTCATTTTCACCATGCTATCTATTTTGTTGAAAGACTTTGATGTGTAAATGGAGGGAATTCAAAAGATTCCATGATTACAATGCTACATGTTCAGCTTGTTATTTAGGGCAATGAGAGAAAGTCACAGGAATTCCTTTTCTAAGACAACATTTAGTTTTTAAATTCTTCATTAACTTAGACAGGTTTTCATCTAATAAATGGCTATGTCACTTTGAACATGTTAATTATACAGATAAATCATCACAGCATGCTACATGGAAATGCCTTATCATATTAGCAGATTAGAAAAAAACTATACATATATTTTCAAAACAATATGCACAAAAGCACTAAAAAGCTGGGAGAAGGGGAGAATCCATAAATGAGACTGAGATAGAGTGAACAGTTAGACAAAGTGAAGCCACGTGGAGAAATGGATCAAAGAGGAGGGAGTGCTGCTTTTAGCTCAAACAATATGTGAACTGAAAATTGACTATTGAATTTTCCAAAATAGAGGTTATTGCTGCCCTTGAAAAGAGAAGTTTTTATAGAATGATGAAGTAAATTGGGTTTCAGAAGGCATGGGAGGAGTGGAATGTGAGGCAGAGAGTATAAAGGACTCACCCACAAAGTTTTGCTATCTAGTGTAGCCAGAAAAAAATGGACAGTAATTGACAGAAGATTATCAGGAGAAACTTACATGCTTGCACGAAAATGATGGGGTGATAGGGTAGAGAGTGAAAATTTGATATTGTAGACAAGAGAGTAGAGAAATTTCAAAGTAATATGTTTAGGCAGACAAGAAAGGATTGGGTCTCATTCACAAGAAGAGATATTTTATCACCACATCATGGAAATTTCATCCAAGGTCAAAGGCAGAGGTAGTGTTTGCCTATGTTGGTAATTGGATGGTTGTGGTTATGAGAGTCTGCAAGATTTCGTGGATGCAACATTCTTAATGAAGTGGGAAGCAAAGCCATCAGGTAATAACAGAGCTGGAGCAGTTGATGTGGTTTGAGGAGAGAGGAGAAAGTATAAAATAACCACATAAGAGGGTGGTATGGTTTGAGGACTGACAAGTTCTTCTATGGATGCTGCACAGTTTAAAAGGTCCATTTAATGTTTGTAGCCATGAATTTAAGACAAAATTCTTTAGTGTGGCTTCATGCTTTTCTCCTACTGCATTCTGCTATTAATAAAAGGGTACAGACATAGAATACGGACTATAGCAGTGGTAGTATTTATCAAAATAACTCCACAGATATGTAATTTACAGTACTTGGTAAATATTGTTTAGATATTGGGCCTGAGGAAAAAAACGGGGTCAAATGTAATACCAACACTAGTAGCTTTGGCTGCATGTGAATCAATTCACATTACTAAGAAACAGAAGGGGCCAGGGTTGAGAAAACACACAAATAAACTTATGCAGTTTAGATATTTGCCTATTTTACCTATGGATTTCTAGTGTAGATATGCTTAGGCTCTAGGGTCTGGGGTTCTGGAAAGCAAGGTGCACTGGAGATGTAAGTTAGAGAATAATCACCACATAGAACATGATTAATCCTGTAAAAAGAAGTATATGTTAGAAGAGGTCCATCAGTAATTTCAAGAAAAGAAGACACAATTAATCATACCAGACCACAAACACTTATGAAATGGGAAGATGGTGAGCAGCTGGCAGAGGACCTTAAAAAGAGAACCAAAGAGAGAGAAATAAAATTCTGAAGACACAGGAAGTAATTGGTTCAAAAATTTAGAATGTGGTAGGGAAGTGGTAGGGAAAAATCTGCATCAATGGATGGCGCAACATGTCCCAAAGTGCATAGAATATTCTTGGTCATTAGCACATTTGAACTTTACCCAAAGTGCATATTTTTAATTCCAGGGGGACCAATATTTAGGAGCCATATCAGTATCCAAATGCTATTATGAGAATACATTAAATAAAAACTCAGACACCTAAAATTTTGTTATTAATGCAGTATCAAGAGTTTCAGTTTTTGAGTTATGATTTTCTTTAAAAGTTTAAGTGGATTTAACTTGATAATTTTAATAACTGAAGTTTCATAAAAAAAGAATACCTTGTAACCTTGAACACAAATGTGGGACAATGACTAAAATTTTACTGTAATGAATGATATTCAATAATTGATCAGTAAATAATTTGAGGTTACAAGCTAAATCCATATTTATTTTTGTGAAATTAAGATAATATCATTTAAAAACAGATTTCTGGAATTTAAACTGAAACAATGAAATTTAGTCCCAAATTTTGAACTCCTTCAAGGTAGAGTATAATAAACGGCCATTCAATTTCAAGCATCTACACGTTTTTCAAAAAGTTATAACTATCATTGGCAACATTTTTCAAAGAAGCATAAAATTAGTCTCCTCTCAGTTTCGATTTTCATTTGAGAAGTTTAAATCCAAACTAAGCTTTAAAGCAAAAAGTAAATAGTTTCTGAAATACTCCTTTTGAGAAAGCTCAGAAATATCTTATTTCTTTTGCTTCTTATTTTCTCACGTCAGCTACAGTAAAAATATGTTCTTTCAAATAGTTCACAGTTGCATGGGAAAGCCCGTTGTATTTATAGGTTAAATGAATGAAAATTTGGCTGTCCTTTATATTAGGCAGGCTTCAACTGTTCTTTGTATATTAGGATGAAGTGCTTTACCTCTCAAGTGAAGGCTCCCAGGGGTTACAGTCATTTATGCCTTTAAAGAGAGAGTCATGCAATGAATGATGTCTAGGTACAAACTATAAAATAATGTGTATATTTCATATACTTATCTGCTAAATTAAATAGTTAAGAGACAAATTAGTAGGAATTATGTGCTGCCATACATATTTCTACAAAAACATCTCTACCTCCACCTCACAAACACTTCTTTGAAACATCCTGATATACATGAGGAATAAGTAATATCCCACTTCCCTTTAATTTTCATCAGAGTATCTAATCACATGCGCTCTAGCCATTTGGATATATTTGTAAGTATGAATTATCCATTCCTAACCTTTTTTTTCTGTCAGTTTTTTTATGAGTTGTCTAAAATTCCATAAATGTAAGTCCTCAAATTTGTATATTACAGACAATTAATCAGTCTTCTGGTTTAGCATTTTGAATAGGCCATATCCAAAGATACACATATGAGGAAAGTTAGATATTCCTGGTGCAGTTATACATTTCTCAAGTATGTTAAAATATAAAGTACATATCAAACATTTAAATATTGTTGGACTAAAAATTGAGTTAGGTTCATATATGACGAACATGATTTTAAAGTCAGACAACCTGGATTTACACCCAAGTTTGCTAACTTCATAGATTTAGGCAAAATTTTTGTTCTGACTCGGCTTTAGTAGAGTTTATTTTGTTAACATTTTTTATTCATTTGTTTGATTTGTGAGAATGTGTGGGGAGAATGAGACTGAATATAAGATGTATGGATATTATTACAAATTATATTCATCCACCTTTGTGTTTCACTTTGTTTTGTGGTGAACTCTTTTGGAATTTAATATTAAATTTAAGAAATTACAAAACTTTTAGTTTTTTATGTTACAGTTATAAGTAATTATACTGCTATATTTTATTTTTATGCAATTTAATTAGCATTGTATTTATAAGATAGTATATATCACTTAAAATTTTTAAAAACATATTTCTAAATTATTCCCGTTCTTTATTCAAGTAGGCCATTAAAATATTTATCTTAATGACCAATTCAGAGTTGGATAAAAGTTTTGGATGTTTCATTCAGCATCCCTCCTGATAATGAAGAAAATAATCAGTGTCTTCTGGTGGTCTGTCATCATTAGGTGAACAACTAAGGACTAGACAGAAAAAGTGATATGCTGGGTTAATGCCTTGGTCAAATGTGGGTATGAGCATTTCAAAGTCATTATCTGCCAACCATCTATATTGAGCTGATGATACTCACTCACCAGCAGTGAGGGTCTTTACTATGTAATTTAAATGCCTGGATACATTTTTAAAAGTAAAAATGTTTGCTTCTAACCTATGACATTTCCTGTATACAGAAATAACCCTTTGGGAAACATCTAAACTTCTAGAGCTTATGTGTTTCCAACAAGTAATTCCATTCCTTGTTTTTCCACTTCTGCTTCAATTTGACACTTAAATACATCTAGCAACTTTGCCTAAAGCAAATTGAAGGCTTTCTTTACTTTTGCATGCATTATTAGAGACTCTAATCTCTCATCTATGGCAATTCATATTTTATTTCACTGAAGTGTAGTCTTTAATTTGCTCCTTTTGAAAAATGTTCCACTCTTTCATTACCTTATTAGATTTCTAGTCAATTCAATTAGATTCACTGCAAGTAAATTTATTTAAAAGGTATTATATGCCAAAATATAAGTCATCCTTTTGCAAAGATAAAATATGAATGGTACTATTTTCAGGTAATGAACTTGAACAATCGTAGATTATTTTACTAGCTTTTGGCATCTACAGAGTACTTAATTAGAATTCATTTGCCCATAGGCTACTAATTTTATAAAGATTGACATCAGCTGCAATACAATGAAACCTACCAAGTCATATCAGTAAGAGGGATAGTGTTGCTTATAATCCTTAGATAGACAATTCAATATGATTTTGATATTTAAAAAAATAAGGCTCCGCAGCCATTACCTTTATTTTCTTGACAATTATTTCCATTAGAATGTTCTAATTTATGACTATAAACAATAAGAATGTTGGCCTTATTTAAATTTCAGCAAATGAATATGGATCCAGAAATTACAGAGAAATTTCTCTTTGAAGACTACTTTTAACAACACATTTAGAAGCTAAATTAACAAACTTATTACTCACATAAGTTGAAACATTGCATTTGTCATCTTGAGAGGCAGTAGTAAGTGAATTGTTGTACTATTTTCCTAAATTAGGCTCTGCAATGTATTTCGGTATCAACTGAAACATTTGGAATTGTTTGTTAAAATAAACACCACACACCATCAATTTCCCTTCCTCATGGATTAAAACAAATCATCAAGCATTTGGGAGCCATACTTAAATTCTTAGTATATGAACAATTTAATACCATGATCATTATTTAAGGAATTATCCTCAATCACAAAAATATCATATTTTGGCTACAAAGTTATATGTTGAGAGTATTCAAATCCTGACTACATTACTGACATACAATAGTTGAGCGAGCCACATGCAATCACAAAAATATATTGCCATTAACGGTGTCATTACAACATGTAATGCATAACGTAGTATATTATTTCTCTAACTTCTGGTAGTTCTCATCTTTCTTCTCGAAAATTGGTGAATTATCAATCTTGTTAATAAAATAGCATCAGCATCTTTATATTCACTGTTTAATTCAATACTAATTCAAGACCAGGAGGCTAAATTTTGACTAACAATTGTTCCCTGAAGAAAGCACTGTTTCATTTTACTGGTGTATGCTTCGTTCTCTACAAATAGTGTTCCAAAAACTCTTTAAAAATCTACATAATAACAAGACAAACAATTATTATTAAAATAAAATACACTTTGTATAGCATAGAATTTTAGAAACAGAAAAATAATGCATTTTATTTCCTCTAGATGTGTATTATTTTTATACAATCAGTAAGTCATTGGTTTTATATCATGGAAAAACTATACGTTTGGTTCAATATGTATGTGCTATTGCTTATCCACATTGTATAATATCTTAGTCTGTCTTGTGCTGCTTTTATAGAATGCCATACGCCAGATAATTTAGATAGAACTGAAATTTATTTCTTATAGTTCTGGAGATTGGAAAGTCCAAGATAAAGATGCCAACATTTGGCAAGGATCATCTTGCTGTGTCATCCCATGGCAGAAGACATCCCATAATGGAAGGCACAGAGATGGTGAAAGAGACACAAAAGAGACTGAACTCATCCTTTTATAAGAAACACACTTCCATAATAATAGCATTAATTTATTCATAAAGGCAGAACTTTTATGGTGTAATCATCTCTTAAAGTTACCACTCCTTAATGCTGCTAAAATGGCAATTAAATTTCAATAAGAGTTTGGAAGGGAACAAGTATTCAAACCATAGCATTCTGTCCCTGGCCCCCAAAACTAACATTCTTCTCGTGTACAAAATACATTTAGTCCATTCCAATATCCAAAAAAGTCTTATTTCATTCTAACATCAACTCCAAATTCCAGTCTCATCTAAATCAGAGATGAGTGAGATTCAACGCATGATTAATCCTGAGAGAAACTTCTTGTCAGCTCTGAGCCGGTGAAACTAGACAAGTTATATGCTTCCAAAATACAATGGTGGCATAAGATGGGCATTTCCATTCCAAAAGGAAGAAGTAGACAAGAAAAGAGGGGTATCTGATTCCAAGTATCTTCAAAATCTAATAGGGAGAACAGCATTGAATTTTTTTTTTTTTAATACTTTAAGTTATAGGGTACATGTGCACAACGTACAGGTTTGTTACATAGGCTCCGTAATAATCTCCTTTGACTCCATACCCCACCTTCTGGGCATTTTGAGCTAGGAGTTAGGCCCTCAAGGGCTTGGGCCTCCTGCAAACCACAACTTAGCTGGGCTTAGCCTATGCAGCAGTTCTCATTGGTCAGAGTCTTGTGCCTCCAGCTCTCAGGCTGGGGCTGCACACTGGTGTCTAAGAGTTCTGAGGTCTCAGCAACAGCCACACTCTTTTTGGCTCCACTAAGCATTGCCAAAATGAAAATTCCCTGTGGTGGTTCTGCCCTTGTGGCAGATTTTTGCCTGGGCCCCCAGGCTGTCCAATACACTCTTTAAAATCTAGGTGGAGGCCACCCTGGCCCTACAGCTTACAAACTCTTTGTACCTGCATAATTAGCACCAAATGGACTCCACCAAAGCTTAGTGCTTGTGCCCTGTGGTGCTGCCACACAGGGTGCACCTGGGCCTGCCTAAGTCATAGGCTGCTTCTTACCAGTCTTACAATGGCAATTCATTTCCAACATGAGTTTGGGAGGGGTCAGGCATTCAAACCATAACATACGCCATTGCTATTATGTGTCATCCAAAAATATCAGTGGATAGAGATTGATGACAACTCATGGTTTTGTCTAAATTGGAAAGTTACTTGGCTTTAATGTTCTAACTAGACCTCTACATTTTTCAGCAATAATGTGAAGTTATATTAATTGTGGCAAATATTTATTGTATTTTCAAAAGATGTCCTCCACAATATTTCTCATTACACATACACATACTAAGGTTGGCATTCTTACAAAGAAGTGTTTCCTATGTTCACTCATAGGTGGGTTTTTTATCACTGCAAAGTGAATTTTAGTTCATTTATACTTAAAGACTACATTGTATTCCTGTTCTCTAACAGTCAATTTTCAAATTATAAGAACATTTCCCACCCCCATTGCTTTGTTCCTATTGTATTATTTTTGTAAATAATTTTTTATTGTGGAAAATATGTACAACACAACTTCTGCCATTTTAATCATTTGTAAATATACATTCACAGTGTTCTACAACCATTATCTCCATTTATAAAACTTTTTCATCACCCCAGAAACTCTGTAACCATTAAATAATAATTCCCTTTTTCATCTACTGTATTATTTTAATAATTAATGTGTTTACTGTAAATGCTTGCTTAATTTCATCTTCAAAATTATCTGATGACCCATTATACAATCTTATCAATATTCACTAAATATTAATGGAATTGTAAGCAAGTTTTTTTCTAATTAATATTCTCTGAATGCCATTCCCTGAAGGTCAGTTCTGTTAATGTCATCCAGAGATTATTAACAAAGAAGCCATTGGAAAATTCAGTAAGAGAAATTTTCTTGTTTAAATGAGACAACTAACATTAATTTAAAAAACTTGTTTCAAATAAGATCAATTAATCAGACTCTACAGATTTGTAAATATATTGACAAACCATAACACTTAAAATTAATTGTGTTCTAATAATTGTTTCAGTGGTATCCAAAAACATATAAGGATTAAATATTTTCAACTAATTAACAGTTTTCATTGGTCAAGAATAAATAATAACAATTTTGGGGGGGAGTTCTACAGAAACATTTTCTAATAATATAAACTAAATGAAGTATTCAGAAATATATGTTGGTATAACAAATTTTCCTGCTTTTATGAGAATAACATTTTTCTAACTAAAACTGTCAGATCAAAATTTTTCTGGAATGGTAGTTAATCATTCAAGTTCAAAGTAATTATTAATGCTTGTTTCCTTTTCAAAATTAATTTTAAAGAATTCATTCATTCATCTACAACAAGTAGTCATAAGACCTCATATGTATGTAAAAAGAACATATATAGGAACATATATATTCCCTATTTGATATATATATAAAATATATATGATATATATATACATTTTATATATATAATATACATATATATATATATATAATTTTCTTTCCCTATTTGAGACACAACTAGCTTCTTCAGCAAACCTGTTCGGACAGTGACAAGCATTCCACTTGAACTAATAATCAGAGTACAGACTACTTGCTTTAAATATTATACTTTATCCATGTCATACTTTGCATCAAGTATAACACTGATTTGATGAATTTTAGAACCATTAACATTTTTGTTTTATTTTCCTAACATCCTAGCAGAGGAGATTCTATAAGTGAATAAATTACCATTATTATCTTAGTTCATGGTAATATTTGCTATATACTCACTAGAGTTTTTATGCACTTTCTTATATAGTTGTAGGAATGGGATTTTAGTTTTTATTTAGGTAGTTTGTTACCTAGTATGTTAAGAATCATATTTATAGCCATTTATATGAACTCATTAATTATCCCTTCTTTTAAAATAAAAAAAATGTTGGTCAAAATCTCCTGCTGGAAGCATCTCTATCCTCTGTTTTCTTCTGAGATTTTGGTATTTTTCATTTTACAGTGTCTTTTTTTTCTATATACCTCTTCAAGGTTGGTTTCCTCTGCAACACCACTTTGCTATTATCTTTTATTTTATGTACTTTAACCATAGGCAAAATTTCATCCTTATGAAAGGTAATGGCTCTCAGAAATAAATACATATACATGGGCATGTGCATGCACACACACACACACACACACACACACACACACACACACACACACATGTCCCAAGAGTTGTTGCTTTAGATAACCATATGAGCATATCTTATCTTAGAATTTGTCCAAGCACCTAAAAACTCTCATATTTAAACTTTCTTAAGGATTGGTCCTCCTCATACCCCTCCTTTGCTTAAAAAAAAAAAAAAAAAAAACTGATGTCGCCTATATATAAACACCTCAGCTTAGTAACCTCAAAACACAGCTGCAAATAACCTTTTTAAATTTCCACAGTACTCCTCTGTGTACCACGGACTTTCGTTAAACATAATCGTTAAATGTCTACATATTCCCGTTAGAGTTTTGAAATATTGCTTATCTCTTGTTCACATTCCCGTTTTCAAATTTGAATTTCTACAATATTTTCGTACTTCTCTTGTAACACTGATAATACAATATCTTGCCATAGTACACTTGTCTTACATTCTTTAGTACATCTTCTTGTGCATGGAATATTTCTTGTTTATTTTTTATCTCCTATTATTCCTTGTACCTCTTATAGTTATTGCATCATTGGTAGGAATTCTAATTTTTATGAATCTCATTACCATTTGAATTATATTTTCATGTTATGATATTTAGAAAAACAAATCTAAAAATTATCACCCTACATTTCCTTTTAAACAGAGTTTTCTTTCCATTTACATTTTCGGTTTATTATATATCAGCACATATTTGTCTATTTGCTCACTGATCCACTCTTTACTATTTTTGTGGCCACTCATATACCTATTTTATGCATGTCTAAACTTGGCTGTCTACAAGCTGCTAAAATTTTATTTATTATTTTATCATTCAGTAATTTTTGGACTTCCATGCAAGAAACCAATCTGTTCACTTATAACAAAAATTTATTTGTTCAAGGAATGAATATTGTTGGGGAAGCTCAATGTCATTATGAGGGACAAAAAGTTGGACTCGCTTTATAACACCAAGGTCATTATCACTTCTACATTCTTAGAGCTGGCATCTTTCTGATTTCTTAACAGATACAATCCTATTGTCATAGCCATGGAAGCTTAAATTTCCCAGCCTATACTATCATGCCTAGAAGGGGAGATAGAATCTGTACCTTCAACTATAATCAAATATTTTTAGCTTCACTCAAATTAGATTAACTTAGTTCACATACATTTACCTTTCAATCAATTTCCATGGTTCAGTGTATGTTACACATTTATTGCATTAAGAAAATGAATGCTGTATCTAGAAATATGAAAGAAGATGGCAATCCCCCTCAAATGAAATATGCAAAACTAGTGAACAGAGTGCTTTCCCTTGAAAACTGCCAGGTTTTATTTTCAGAAGAAAGTAGAAAGTTACACAACTGCTCCAGGAAACTGCACTGTTTTAAAACTACTTTATAGACTATAAGTGTCTTGAGGGCAAAGCCTGTTTCTTAATTGGCTCTATGCCTGCAGTGTCTAGCCTAATGTAACAAACATAGTGGTTGAATGCATACCATGTATTTGTTTTATACCAGGAGATTCTTAGTACAACTATAAACCACATATTTAATCTTTATGAGTTTTTTTCTGCCATTGCAAATAGAGGCTCAGTTTCTAATTTCTCAGTAAAAATTATCTTCCTGGAATTTGGAGCACATGATTTTATATATATATATGAAATGTTTCTTCCATTTCCTCTATTAATTGTGTTCTTACTTTGGTGGCATAAGGAGTGGTGGTGGTTTGGTAATGTTTATAGATTGTGACACTCAGGATTGCAAACTTGCAAATATATTTTCATATATATATATAAATATATATTGTGTGTGCGTTGTTTGTCAATAGATAGATAGAAAATGTACATGTTTGCTAAGGATTCAGCCCTGAGAAAATAAAGAGCTAAGAGTTCATTATATATACAAAAATATATGACTTTATAGCCTCCTTTCTCCTGAAAAAGACATATTCAGTGCTTATTTTTTATTTTTCCGTTTTATGAGCCTTAAAATATTGTGAGTTTTCTTGTTATTACATGCTCTTTTATTAAACTGTTTATGGACATTCTTTATCTAATCCTCAACTGGACTAAAACCAGAATTTAATAAACTCAGCTAATTGATATATATTCTGTAACTCTGACACTAATACATAGCATAAGAAAGGTATAATACGCACCACTTTTTAATTTACCAGTGTAAACAAATTTTCAACCATATAGCTGCCTATATTTAAGATGCCTTATGAATCATGCATCTATGGAAAGAATATATCTTTTAAGATGAGTGTCAATCACAGATCCCAGTAATAAAGTATGGATTAACCCCATACATTGTTAGTGAAGCAATTTTTTAGTCTTTGAAAGTCACAGGTCAGTTTACATAGCTAGTTAGCTAGATATATTCTAGATATATCTAGATATATCTAGGTGATGTTATCTAGGTGGTGTTATCCCAAATCTATATTATGTCTACCTGTTTCAGTGATCTTATACACTGCATTACACACAATAGATTCTTTTTAAAATCATAGAGAATAAATGAATATATGTATAAATAGATGTAGATGAAACCTAACATAGTCAGTATTTCCTGCTGGATTTTAATATGGCAAATGTCTTTGCTTGAATTATACAGGAGATTCATTCTTATTCACAGGTAACAGGGAATCGTTGTTGGCACAAAATTTGTGTCCTAAGCCAAGCATGTAAGCTTTATCAGTTTGCATGATAAGGAGGGAACAAATTCCCTTATTGTGAGTTTATTATGACTAATTTTCAGCTAGCTGGTGGATTTATGATACATTATATGATTTTTTAATATGTTTCAACCTTCAAAATGTTATACAAATCCTATAAAATTGCAACTTTCTGAAGTTTTACAACAACCTCCTTTTTATAACAAGAGTCATTATTTTGATTTGACAATGCCAAAGAAAAACCCCTCTCTCTCAGTGCTATGTTTTACTTTCAGTACAAAGTTCATGGTAATAATAAAAATATTTTCTATTTAAAGACAGCACTTTATCATAAGAATCTGAAAAAACAATTCTTGTGATATTCCTCTAGGTTGCATTTTTCCAAAGAAAGTCATTTAGTGCTTATATTCAAAAGCCCAGTAAAAGTATCATATCTTAGCTAAGAATCCATGTTAGACGTAGAAAACCATTCCAACTCCTTACCAGGGACAACGTACCCTGATCGGGTTTGACCTGCCTCATTGTTCTTCTCTGCTACACTCCAGCCATTGGCCTTCATTTTGTTGCTCATATACAATACACTTACTGGATTTATTCTAAACTTGGATATAGCAAATAAAAAGCACATTTCATCTGTGGGACAGAAAGGAAAGAGGAGATATGTATAGGCTACTTCTTTGCAGTCAGATGATGTCAGTTAGCTAAGTCTAATTATGGCAGAGAGATTGTGTCTCATGAAACAAATGCTTTTAGACCTCTATTCTGGTTACCAAATGTATGCTGTGCAACATGTTTCTCCAAGCTAGTGAGGACCATGGCAATGCTGGTCACACCATAGGCCACCATGTGGGTCACTGTTATAATATCCAAATTCAACCAAGCCAGAATTAGATACATTATTACATTTTAAAATCATTTTAAAAGAATGAGCCTTATATTTTTAGATAATCTTTAGCTTTTGTGTGGATATTTTATTCAGACCCAGTCATATTATTTGTATCTTAGATAATAATACATGTCCTATCTAATGTCCTTGGAACCTTTCTAAAAGGCCTTGATAACACATTCTCTGAGAAGTCTAGGTCTGAGATAAAAGCAGATGTAATTTCTGATAACATGTGTTTGTAGCAAATGGCTGCCCTTGTCCTGAAGAAAAATACCCTGAGGAAAAATAATCAAATTTACTCATGCTCTGGGACATTCTCAAGGTAGTGGACATGAGTGCCCAGTCCTAGGTCTTCTGAAGATCTGGTATGCTTCCTTTTGGACTCCATGGTATAGGGCAATTCTGCAAGAAGATTTGGAGTCCCTTCTCTCCCTCCCGCATATCCATCCCTAATGGGACTAATTAAAGCTAGCCAGAGCTCAATAACCATGCTTCTCACTGTCGTATAAGCTATTTGCCTGGCTTATTTAGTTTTCTTTTTCTTTTTTTTTCTTTTCTTTTTTTTTTTTTTTTTTGAGATGGAGTCTCGCTCTGTCGCCCAGGCTGGAGTGCAGTGGCGCGATCTCGGCTCACTGCAAGCTCCTCCTGCCGGGTTCACACCATTCTCCTGCCTCAGCCTCCCAAGTAGCTGGGACTACAGGCGCCCGCCACGAAGCCTGGCTAATTTTTTGTATTTTTAGTAGAGACGGGGTTTCACCGTGTTAGCAAGGATGGTCTCGATCTCCTGACCTCGTGATCCGCCCGCCTCAGACTCCCAAAGTGCTGGGATTACAGGCGTAAGCCACCGCGCCCAGCTGCCTGGCTTATTTTCTTTTCTCTTTTTTCTTAAACGATTGTGGCCGTAAAAAAGTGTTCTTCTCTCTCCCTTCTGCTGCCCCAAGGAAACCTCGCTTGGTCAAAACTTGCTTATCTTGTAAATCTTATGTGCATTCTCTTATGAATATGTTCTATCTGAGGAAAATATAATAGCATAATCTCTCTGCGATATCTTGTGCATAAAGTGCAAATCATAATACATATTTGCTTGGTTTTTCCCAAGGTAAGAGATGATGTAACTCTTACAGATGATGGTGATAGAGTCATAGGAAGTGACAGAGGAGGATGAGGATAATAATATCCTGTCCCACACTAAGCATTAAACTTGAATATTTAAATGACTGAGACAAATTTCTTATCGAGTCATGTCAAAGTTTAAACACAAACTAAGGTTTCTTATTTTGGTGTGTGTGTAGTGGGGTGGGTGCAGGTGATATTTAGAATACACTTAACTGTCTTTTCAGGAGTTTTAGTTTAATAATTTCAGACTGTTTTGAGTAAATGACCTACTGTGAGAATTGGCCACTTGCATCCTACATTTGGAAGCCATACAGTAAATCATAAAACTCCCTTTTAATTTTGGTCATACTACATATGTGAGTGCATTAAATATTTCCTAAATATTGATCATTTTCTATTTTAATTTGACAAAAGAAATTATATTACTTACATTTTGTTTGATTGCAGCAAACCATACCTTAAGAAAACAAACATTCCTGCTGAGATTATTTGATAAAAACATTAAATTTATTTTATTGTCATTCAATTTACCAGTAGATGGACAGAAATAGAGACAATATTATAGGTATTAAAACTTCAAAATTCTAGGAGAAAGTTAAGTTTAACAAACAAAATTTTTTGTTTTTTAAAAAACAAGTTTAAAAAGCAGCAGTTTTTTTAAAAAGCAGCATTAAGGAATGTATTTTTTTAGGAGCCAAGATGGCCAAATAGGAACAGCTCCGGTCTACAGCCCCCAGCCTGAGCAACGCAGAAGACGGGTGATTTCTGCATTTCCATCTGAGGTACTGGGTTCATCTCACTAGGGAGTGCCAGACAGTGGGCGCAGGTCAGTGGGTGCGTGCACCATGAGCGAGCCGAAGCAGGGTGAGGCATTGCATCACTCGGGAAGCGCAAGGGGTCAGGGAGTTCCCTTTCCTAATCAAAGAAAGGGGTGACGGACGGCACCTGGAAAATCGGGTCACTCCCACCTGAATACTGCGCTTTTCCGATGGGCTTAAAAAACGGCGCACCACGAGATTATATCCCGCACATGGCTGGGAGGGTCCTACGCCCACGGAGTCTCCCTGATTGCTAGCACAGCAGTCTCAGATCAAACTGCAAGGCGGCAGCGAGGCTGGGGGAGGGGCGCCCACCATTGCCCAGGCTTGCTAAGGTAAACAAAGCAGCCAGGAAGCTCGAACTGGGTGGAGCCCACCACAGCTCAAGGAGGCCTGCCTGCATCTGTAGGCTCCATCTCTGGGGGCAGGGCACAGACAAACAAAAAGACAGCAGTAACCTCTGCAGACTTAAATGTCCCTGTCTGACAGCTTTGAAGAGAGCAGTGGTTCTCCCAGTACGCAGCTGGAGATCTGAGAACGGGCAGACTGCCTCCTCAAGTGGGTCCCTGACCTCTGACCCCCGAGCAGCCTAACTGGGAGGCACCCCCCAGCAGGGGCACACTGACACCTCACACTGCAGGGTACTCCAACAGACCTGCAGCTGAGGGTCCTGTCTGTTAGAAGGAAAACTAACAAACACAAAGGACATCCACACCAAAAACCCATCTGTACATCACCATCATCAAAGACCAAAAGTAGATAAAACCACAAAGATGGGGAAAAAACAGAACAGAAAAACTGGAAACTCTAAAAAGCAGAGCGCCTCTCCTCCTCCAAAGGAACGCAGCTCCTCACCAGCAACAGAACAAAGCTGGACGGAGAATGACTTTGACAAGCTGAGAAGGCTTCGGACGATCAAATTACTCTGAGCTAAGGGAGGACATTCAAACCAAAGGCAAAGAAGTTGAAAACTTCGAAAAAAATTTAGAAGAATGTATAACTAGAATAACCAATACAGAGAAGTGCTTAAAGGAGCTGATGGAGCTGAAAACCAAAGCTCGAGAACTATGTGAAGAATGCAGAAGCCTCAGGAGCCCATGTGATCAACTGGAAGAAAGGGTATCAGCAATGGAAGATGAAATGAATGAAATGAAGCGAGAAGGGAAGTTTAGAGAAAAAAGAATAAAAAGAAAGAGCAAAGCCTCCAAGAAATATGGGACTATGTGAAAAGACCAAATCTATGTCTGATTGGTGTACCTGAAAGTGATGGGGAGAATGGAACCAAGTTGGAAAACACTCTGCAGGATATTATCCAGGAGAACTTCCCCAATCTAGCAAGGCAGGCCAACGTCCAGATTCAGGAAATACAGAGAACGCCACAAAGATACTCCTCGAGAAGAGCAACTCCAAGACACGTAATTGTCAGATCCACCAACGTTGAAATGAAGGAAAAAATGTTAAGGGCAGCCAGAGAGAAAGGTCAGGTTACCCTCAAAGGGAAGCCCATCAGACTAACAGCAGATCTCTCAGCAGAAACCCTACAAGCCAGAAGAGAGTGGGGGCCAATATTCAACATTCTTAAAGAAAAGAATTTTCAACCCAGAATTTCATATCCAGCCAATTTAAGCTTCATAAGTGAAGGAGAAATAAAATCCTTTACAGACAAGCAAATGCTGAGAGATTTTGTCACCACCAGGCCTGCCCTAAAAGAGTTCCTGAAGGAAGCGCTAAACATGGAAAGGAACAACCAGTACCAGCTGCTGCAAAATCATGCCAAAATGTAAAGACCATAGAGACTAGGAAGAAACTGCATCAACTAATGAGCAAAATAACCAGCTAACATCATAATGACAGGATCAAATTCACACATAACACTATTAACTTTAAATGTAAATGGACTAAATGCTCCAGTTAAAAGACACAGACTGGCAAATTGGATAAAGAGTCAAGACCCATCAGTGTGCTGTATTAAGGAAACCCATCTCACGTGCAGAGACACACATAGGCTCAAAATACAAGGATGGAGGAAGATCTACCAAGCAAATGGAAAACAAAAAAAGGCAGGGGTTGCAATCCTAGTCTCTGATAAAACAGACTTTAAACCAACAAAGATCAAAAGAGACAAAGAAGGCCATTACATAATGGTGAAGGGATCAATTCAACAAGAAGAGCTAACTATCCTAAATATATATGCACCCAATACAGGAGCACCCAGATTCATAAAGCAAGTCCTGAGTGATCTACAAAGAGACTTAGACTCCCACACATTAATAATGGGAGACTTTAACACCCCACTTTCAACATTAGACAGATCAACGAGACAGAAAGTCAACAAGGATACCCAGGAATTGAACTCAGCTCTTAGCCAAGCGGACCTAATAGACATCTACAGAACTCTCCACCCCTAATCAACAGAATATACATCTTTTTCAGCACCACACCACACCTATTCCAAAATTGACCACATACTTGGAAGTGAAGCTCTCCTCAGCAAATGTAAAAGAACAGAAATTATAACAAACTATCTCTCAGACCACAGTGCAATCAAACTAGAACTCAAGATTAAGAATCTCACTCAAAACCGCTCAACTACATGGAAACTGAACAACCTGCTCCTGAATGACTACTGGGTACATAACAAAATGAAGGCAGAAATAAAGATGTTCTTTGAAACCAACGAGAACAAAGACACAACATACCAGAATCTCTGGGATGCATTCAAAGCAGTGTGTAGAGGGAAATTTATAGCACTAAATGCCCACAAGAGAAAGCAGGAAAGATCCAAAATTGACACCCTAACATCACAGTTAAAAGAACTAGAAAAGCAAGAGCAAACACATTCAAAAGCTAGCAGAAGGCAAGAAATAACTAAAATCAGAGCAGAAATGAAGGAAATAGAGACACAAAAAACCCTTCAAAAATTTAATGAATCCAGGAGCTGGTTTTTTGAAAGGATCAACAAAATTGATAGACCGCTAGCAAGACTAATAAAGAAAAAAAGAAGAATCAAATAGACGCAATAAAAAATGATAAAGGGGATATCACCACCGATCCCACAGAAATACAAACTACCATCAGAGAATACTACAAACACCTCTACACAAATAAACTAGAAAATCTAGAAGAAATGGATAAATTCCTTGACACATACACTCTCCCAAGACTAAACCAGGAAGAAGTGGAATCTCTGAATATACCAATAACAGGAGCTGAAATTGTGGCAATAATCAATAGCTTACCAACCAAAAAGAGTCCAGGACCAGATGGATTTACAGCCGAATTCTAACAGAGGTACAAGGAAGAACTGGTACCATTCCTTCTGAAACTATTCCAATCAATAGAAAAAGAGGGAATCCTCCCTAACTCATTTTATGAGGCTAGCTTCATTCTGATACCAAAGCCGGGCAGAGACACAACCAAAAAAGAGAATTTTAGACCAATATCCTTGATGAACATTGATGCAAAAATCCTCAATAAAATACTGGCAAAACGAATCCAGCAGCACATCAAAAAGCTTATCCACCATGATCAAGTGGGCTTCATCCCTGGGATGCAAGACTGGTTCAATATACGCAAATCAATAAATGTAATCCAGCATATAAACAGAGCCAAAGACAAAAACCACATGATTATCTCAATAGATGCAAAAAAGGCCTTTGACAAAATTCAACAACCTTTCTTGCTAAAAGCTCTCAATAAATTAGGTATTGATGGGACGTATTTCAAAATAATAAGAGCTATCTATGACAAACCCACAGCCAATATCATACTGAATGGGCAAAAACTGGAAGCATTCCCTTTGAAAACTGGCACAAGACAGGGATGCCCTCTCTCACCACTCCTATTCAACATAGTGTTGGAAGTTCTGGCCAGGGCAATTAGGCAGGAGAAGGAAATAAAGGGTATTCAATTAGGAAAAGAGGAAGTCAAATTGTCCCTGTTTGCAGATGAGATGATTGTATATCTAGAAAACCCCATTGTCTCAGCCCAAAATCTCCTTAAGCTGATAAGCAACTTCAGCAAAGTCTCAGGATACAAAATCAATGTACAAAAATCACAAGCATTCTTATACACCAACAACAGACAGAGAGCCAAATCATGAGTGAACTCCCATTCACAATTGCTTCAAAGAGAATAAAATACCTATGAATCCAACTTACAAGGGATGTGAAGGAGCTCTTCAAGGAGAACTACAAACCACTGCTCACTGAAATAAAAGAGGATACAAACAAATGGAAGAACATTCCATGCTCATGGGTAGGAAGAATCAATATCGTGAAAATGGCCATACTGCCCAAGGTAATTTACAGATTCAATGCCATCGCATCAAGCTACCAATGCCTTTCTTCACAGAATTGGGAAAAACTACTTTAAAGTTCATATGGAACCAAAAAAGAGCCCGCATCACCAAGTCAATCCTAAGCCAAAAGAACAAAGCTGGAGGCATCACACTACCTGACTTCAAACTATACTACAAGGCTAGAGTAACCAAAACAGCATGGTACTGGTACCAAAACAGAGATATAGATCAATGGAACAGAACAGAGCCCTCAGAAATAATGCTGCATATCTACAACTATCTGATCTTTGACAAACCTGAGAAAAACAAGCAATGGCGAAAGGATTCCCTATTTAATAAATGATGCTGGGAAAACTGGCTAGCCATATGTAGAAAGCTGAAACTGGATCCCTTCCTTACACCTTATACAAAAATTTATTCAAGATGGATTAAAGACTTAAACGTTAGACCTAAAACCATAAAAACCCTAGAAGAAAACCTAGGCATTACCATTCAGGACATAGGCATGGGCAAGGACTTCATGTCTAAAACACCAAAAGCAATGGCAACAAAAGCCAAAATTGACAGATGGGATCTAATTAAACTAAAGAGCTTCTGCACAGCAAAAGAAACTACCATCAGAGTGAACAGGCAACCTACAAAATGGGAGAAAATTTTTGCAACCTACTCATCTGACAAAGGGCTAATATCCAGAATCTACAATGAACTCAAACAAATTTACAAGAAAAAACCAAAAAACCCCATCAAAAAGTGGGCGAAGGACATGAACAGACACTTCTCAAAAGAAGACATTTATGCAGCCAAAAAACACATGAAAAAATGCTCATCATCACTGGCCATCAGAGAAGTGCAAATCAAAACCACAATGGATACCATCTCACACCAGTTAGAATGGCAATCATTCAAAAGTCAGGAAACAACAGGTGCTGGAGAGGATGTGGAGATATAGGAACACTTTTACACTGTTGGTGGGACTGTAAACTAGTTCAACCATTGTGGAAGTCAGTGTGGCAATTCCTCAGGGATCTAGAACTAGAAATACCATTTGACCCAGCCATCCCATTACTGGGTATATACCCAAAGGACTATAAATCATGCTGCTATAAAGACACATGCACACGTATGTTTATTGTGGCATTATTCACAATAGCAAAGACTTGGAACCAACCCAAATGTCCAACAATGATAGACTGGATTAAGAAAATGTGGCACATATACACCATGGAATACTATGCAGCCATAAAAAATGATGAGTTCATGTCCTTTGTAGGGACATGGATGAAATTGGAAATCATCATTCTCAGTAAACTATCGCAAGAACAAAAAACCAAACACTGCATATTCTCACTCATAGGTGGGAATTGAACAGTGAGATCACATGTACACAGGAAGGGGAACATCACACTCTGGGGACTGTTGTGGGGTTAGGGGAGGGGGGAGGGATAGCATTGGGAGATATACCTAATGCTAGATGACGAGTTAGTGGGTGCAGCGCACCAGCATGGCACATGTATACGTATGTAACTAACCTGCACATTGTGCACATGTACCCTAAAACTTAAAGTATAATAATAAAAAAAAAAGAAAAAAGGAATGTATTTTTTAAAAAGTTTTTTTAAAAAGCAGCATTTTTTTGAAGTTTTTTAAAAAAATTTTTTTTAAAAAGCAGCATTAAGGAATGTATCACACTTGAGGGACATAAGACATGAATTAAATTATTTTGCATTGAAAGGTTTATCGATTTAATGTTGCAGCCAATTTTCAATGTTTTAATTTTTATAAATAGGTGAACTTTATTATTATATTTTAGCTACCTCCACAGCAATATTTGGTGATTATTCAGTTAATCAGGTTATGTAAGTCCTGAATGATTATTATGTCCTCTCTGTTAGGCAACCTGAAATGTATACAATTAATTGCTGATTTTGAATCACTGGCAAAATAAGACTATTACCAGCTAAACAGGGCTTAATGCAGAAGATACAGGGTGGAGGCTCAATATTCGCTTACAATTTCAATCCCATTTTCTACTGAATTAGAAAAAAATAATTTCTTTACATTTAAAACATTATAGTTATATCAACTTATTGATTTAGACTGACTATGTATTTTATGTAAAATGTCCCCAATATTATTGAAACCACATTTATAGACTACCCATCATGGGCATTAAATATAAAACATGGGAGACAAAAAATTGGGCGTTACAAACATAAATATGTAATTGGTAAGTAGGAGAAACAGCATCTTGGAAGACGTCTGGGAGGCAGCAATCAGAGGTGGAAAAAGAGCCTGCTGCTGGGATCTATGTTGATTTATTCAGCAATTTTCAACTCTGGTGACTTTTATCTCTCACCTGCCCAGGGGTCATTTGGCAATGTCGGGAAACATTTAATTGCCACAAATATGAGGTACTACTGGCATCAGTGAGTAGAGACGAAGGAAGCAGCTAACATCTTGGACTTCACTGTACAGCCTTACCAAAAGAATTATCTAGTTCACATGCTGCTGGCGAGAAAAGTTAGTTCATATAAATTTGAACAACCTAATGAAAAAGCAGATATGAAAAATTATAAACTTTAATTTTAAAATGTTAACTGTAAAATTATAAAACAATATACTTTAATCTATGCTACTGCTAAGTAGTGGAGCTAAAATTTTTCAGGATAACATAAAGTGACAGCACTAATATCTACATTTCTTAATGAAAGAAGTATATTTCAATTTGTGAGTTTAACCACTATTATAATCAAAATATAATTTCAGAGAAATAGTAATTGAATATCAGTAGGTAAAATATATAACCTATTTAGAAATAATTATAATGTAAATTAAAATAAAATAGTATTTTCAGTTTGTAAGGATATGTTTAAAGCATTTTATGTATCAACATAAAAAAGAAACATACATAATTAATAAAGAAAATGCAGTAAAAGACAAAAAGGAAAGCAAGCAGAGGAGAAAATTTAGGTATAATAAGGGGAAACTGATGTGTAGCTGCAAGAGACATCCGAAGCACTACACACAAAGTCTTATAAGAAAAAGAGAGAAGCAAACTATGCATTGAAGTAATAACCCAAGGTTATCCTACTGCTGTCTTGAAATTCAACATAAAATTGTATAAACATACAAACCTTTCTTGACTTAGAATTTATATACCATAACATATATCCTTTTAAAAACATACAAATTTTTTTAGTATATTTACAATCTAATTTTAAAATATTTCTATCCTGTTAAAAGAAACTAAACTTTATTCCACACCCTTTTCTCACTTAGCCCTGAGTTATCACTAATCAACATTTTTCTCTCTAGATTGACATATCTGAAAATTTTAAGTAAAATTATTTGAAATTATTATTATGAAAAAATAAGTTGTTAATATTAGATTTGTTCTAATAAACTCAAGTTACACTTAAAACATTCTAAAATATTATAAATATTTTAATTATAATTAAAATATTCAAAAATATTTAAATATTCTACAGTTAAAATATCCATCACATTTATCAAAAGCTAATATAAATATATTTTATCTTTCTTTTGAACTTAATATTTTTAACATTGTTTCTAAGGGGAAATGCAGGCCTAGATTTAAAATTATGATTAATACATTACTATTACATTTCAACTATTTTCACAAACCAGGGACAACCTAAAATGACATCAGAGCTTTGGGGGAGTATGACAATCCATAAGCAAATGCAAACACATGACAGTTTAGGAACATACTAAGAGCTACCAGAAAATTCTTGAGAAAATTTACGTTTTATCAGGCTTGTGCATTAATTCAAAATAATTATCTCATACTTTTTCATTAATGTATGCTACATTTTTTTTGCATACAGTGAGTGCCTTTTTACCAATAGTACCAGTAGATAAGAAGATAAGATACAGATAATAAAGCACAGAGCATTGCACAGATCTACACCAATGGATTGGAATGGAATGTAGGATTCTCTTCTTGCTGTGGACACCATCAAAATGTGAGATCACTTCTCTGCTCAATAGGACAATCATACTGATTCCTTAGGAAGACATATAGGAATCAGTAGAGGGAGATCCTACCCTGGAATCGTTTGATGTCCTTGGGTTATCTTCCTCTACAAAAAGGTAAGCCCTGACATTAAGTTGATAAGACCTATCAGAGGAGAGTTGGCTCACTATGTAAGCAATCTATAAACCGTATCTCTCCAGAAAGAGTTGAGAATTATATCTATAACTGACTTACTATATTGGCCACATTATCTATCTATGCAATAAAATAAAAATTTTAAATATATACCTGTGAAATTTATACGTATTTAATATTTTTAGTTCATCTTTGAAAAAATGAGTTGCTAAAATACTGAAGATATTAACTGGTTATTTCCCGATTGCAACAGTCACATGATTCAGTGATTACATTAAACTCTGTCTTCTATATCAAGTTATGGAAAAAGATAGACAGATATAAGCTCTTCTTTGAACATGATAACAGCATGATATAAAAGAAGATTGGGGGAGCTATAATTTTGAAAACTAGTTACCTATTATAGTATTCTGAATTCAGGTCTGTTCAATTTCTGGATAGCTAGCTAATTATTTTAATATACTATATATATATATATATACACTTTTGTTTTAAGATAGTTTTGCTTCAGCTAAGTTTAACATCAGACCCAGTGGTAATTTAATTACCTCCTGTAAATTGTAATCAACTCACACATTTGGGGTAGATTAAAAATGTATTCTACATCTTTAAACCGTTTATAAGCTCTGAACTTCAAATAATCTTTTTCATATAAAGTTAAATTAATCATATTTTGAAAAATACACTCTACAAACATAAAAGGATTTTCTAATTCATATTCACAATATTTGGCTCAATTTTGGGCAGCATTAAAATAATTGAGTGTTGTATCCACCCATTTATTTGTTGGCAACTGGAATAATTTTATTTTAATGATGACAAATGAATCAGAAATACGATATGAATTCATAATCAATACACTGTATTACATACAGAGGAAAAATACGTTTAGATTGACATTTAGAGTATATATTAACACAGTTAAATTACCTTCTTTAAAAATAATCCGTCAAAATCTAAATAAACGATGTGAAAGGGGAAGAAAATTTGCTTTTCTTTTGCCAAGTTGAATCTAGATGTTTAGGTGTTTGATAATACATAATTGCCCATATTTGAGAATGACTTTATTAATTATGTTGTTTCTTTCATTTAGGGCTAGTTGAAATAATGACATGTGGGAGATCAGCACTCCAAGTCAAAATTGCAAAACAGAAGAAAATTCCAGAATTATATCACTGTTGTAAGTCGATCAGTCATTACTGGGTATATATCCTAAAGGAAAAAAAAAAATCATTCTACCAAAAAGACACATGCACTCTCATGTTCATCACAACACTATTCAGAATAGCAAAGACATAGAATCAACCTAGGTGCCCATCAACAGTGGATGGGATAAAGAAAATGTGGTACATATACACCATGGAATACTACACAGACATAAGAAGACCAAAATCATGTCCTTTGCAGCAACATGGATAGAACTGAAGTTCATTTCCTAAGCGACTTTACACAGAAACAAAACACCAAATACCCCGCCCGTTCTCACTTATAAGTGGGAAGTAAACATTGGTTACTCCGGACATAAGGATGGTAACGATAGAAACTGGGGCCTACTTTGGGCAGTACGGCCATTTTATGTATATTGATTCTTCCAATCCATGAGCATGGAATGTTTTTCCGTTTGTTTGTGTCATCTACGGTCTCTATTAGCAGAACGAGGAGGGAAACAGGGGGACAAGGTTTGAAAAATTAACTGTTGGGTATTATGTTCAGTACCTTGGTAATGGGATCAATCACACTCCAAACCTCAGAATCACACAATATACCCAGGTAACAAATCTGCGCATGTACCCTCTGAATCTAAAATAAAAGTTGAAATTCTTTAAAGATTATAAATAGGGCCGGGCGCGGTGGCCCACGCCTGTAATCCCGGTACTTTGGGAGGCCGAGACGGGTGGATCACCTGAGGTCAAGATTTTGAGACCAGCCTGGCCAAAATGGTGGAACCCCGTCTCTACTAAAAGCACAAAAAATTAGCCGGGCGTGGTGGTGGGCGCCTGTAATCCCAGCTACTCAGGAGGCTGAGGCACGAGAATCTCTTGAACCTGGGAAGCAGAGGTTGCAGTGAGCAGCGGTAACGCAGTTGCTCCCCAGCCTGGGCAACAAGAGCTAAACTCCCTCTCAAAAAAAATAAAATAAAATAAATTAAAAGAAAAAGAAAAGAAAAAAAGAAAGAGAAATCAAATTGGGTATTTTGTTTAAAAAAAAGCATATGTTACTACCGTAAAAAGAAGGAAAAAGATAACATAATGAAGTAATTTTTGCTTTATTTGCTTTCTCCTATTTCTAGGACTTGCTATACTGCATCTCCTATGTATATTTGCCTTCATTGAAGAGTGGGTAAAGGATTGGAGAAAGAAAGAATGCTTTTCTCTAGAGCTAGGGAAGTTTATATTTTATGATTATTAAAAAAAGAAAAATAAACTTTTTCGTATATGTACCTGTGAGAGAAAAAAGCGCCATAAATTTATAGCTGCATTATGATGATATGATGTCCTTCCATTCCTTTAAAAAAAGAACAAGGAATCAAACCTGACTGAATTCCCAGAGATGCTTAGAGTTCAAACACTATCACATTCACTTCCCAAATCCTCATACTTTATATAACATTCCACTTCTCTTCCCAAATCTTCCTGATTGCAAATTCCATGCCACTAATGATGCACAATTAGTTGGGCTCATCTTTTCAAACTATGGTGTTTAGAATTAGGTCTGCTGTGCATACTGTGCCTATTATAAAATATATATATATATATTTATATATATAAACATGTATAAATTTATACAGATATTTAAATATATATATATAAATACATATATATATATATATACTTCAACCAAGCACTTTTGTTTTTTGAACAAATCTACAAATAGATAAATTTTTATCTGCATTTCATTTAAGTTCCTGGCCAATAGCAGAACTTCAGTAATAAAATTTGGATACTTGATCCAAAATCTTCTGGCATAAGACATACATAAAAACTTAATAATATTCACATAGTAATATTTTATGTCATAAATATTGCATGACTTAAGTAATTTTAACTAATTTTAAAATAAAAGAAACATAAATTTAAAGAACAAATTCTAAATGTGAAAGATAAATGTAGGAATATAAGAAAATTATTTTGGCAGCATGTCATTCTTTTCTGAAATTTTTCCCACATTAAATTTTCTCTAGTTTCTCTATTATCATCCCCTATTTGGCATTGTATGTGTTGGGAAAATGGTTCACTTACAGATGACTAAACTGCTGATTTCTGCGAAGACTAGTTGCTACTGCTGTGTATATGAATATATGGCTTATTATTACATGTAATCAAACTCCATCTGCCTATCCATCATCTCCTTTACAATTTCCCACTTTGCAACTTATGTAGTAATGAAGTTAAGTATTAAAAAACTTCTAAATATTTCTGATTCTATGTACACATCCAGTCCTCAAATTTGCCTAGCATAACAAAAAAGGCCTATCTAAACTAATTGTTGATTTAACTGAAATTTTTAAAATATAACTCCCTGTTTTCAAAGTTGAGTAATAAATTTTAAATTATAAAATTAGAATTCTGAAAATAATCTTTTACTTTTGTAATCTTTTCAAATTTCCTAAAGGATTTCATAGCCTTAAAATGATAGATCTAAGCTACAGATACCTAAGAAGTTAATGAATAATATTCAGTGACTACCAATAACTAATAATATCCATTTTATATAACGACAATGAAAAGAGACACAGGAAAATGAGGTAGGTTGCTTTGAGCAGTGATTCTCATCCTTTACTTCAAAATCGTTTGGTGAAGTTGTTATAAAATACATGTCCAGATCCCTCTCCAGTCCTATTAAATAAAAGTCCTTGAGAATTATGCTCTACAAACCTTGAGAATTATCCTTGAGGACCACACCTCCTAAATAACAACAAGCTTTTCAGTAAAATGTAAAGTGCTATTACTTAACTGAAGCAAAATCTGCTTGCAGACAGGAAGACAGCTATAGGTGCTATTTACCAACTTGCTTTGCTCACACCCTGGCAACTTGTATTGGTTGTGTTTTGACCATGGAATAAAACTTGTGCTCAATGTGAATATACAATATATGCCATGCCATGATTATAAATTTACTACATAGGGATTGGGGTTATTATTATTTTTTCTTTACTACATAGAAATTGTAACTAATACTATTTTCTCTTTATTCCAAAGCATCTCTAAAAATTTTGAATATTTTCTTGTGATAGAAAAATTAGAGTGAGCAAATAGATTGCAACCATGAGCCTAAATAAATAAATTTAGAAAAAACTAAGCCTCTCTTTTATTATATCTGTCTATACTATTATTTTAAAAATTCATAATTCAACTTAATAAGTAATTTTTTCAGAGAAACCTGGATTATAAAGCAATTAATTTATTAAATGTGTTATGTAAAATTAAAAATAATAGCATATTTTAATTAACATCAATATAATTTAAAATTTTTATGTATGGGGTACATGAGATATTTTGATACTGGCATATAATATATAATAATCATATTAGGGTAAATAAGTTATTCATTACTATAAGCATGCATCATTTGCAAGTGTTTTTTTTTTTTTAGTACCACAGGAAATTTTTATTAATTTTTATTATTTGACTTTTATTTTAAGTTCACGGGTACATGTACAGGTTTATTATACAGGTAAATGGCATGTCCTGGGGGTTTGGTGTATAGATTATTTGCAAATCTTTAAAAAAATCCTACTTATTGCAGCACTGTTCACAATACCTCAAGCCACGATAAATTTTTTTTTATGAGTTGCCTGTGTTTCCAAAATACCAAAATATTTTTGGATATCAAACCCAACCTTTATAATATAATACAGATTATAATTTGGAATACCTATTACATGACTTCATCATGAATAATTACGATCACATGAAAAAATTTAATGTAATAAATTGTCTTTTTCTCTAGATACCATTGTATCTTTCATAAGATTGCAAATAGTATCATAGAAAATTTCTAAAATAAAAGTCATGTTGTTTACAAATAAATATTAGTAACAATTTTAGATAAATTCAATAAGAATGAAATAGAAGTTTCAAGCCATTTTTACTCTATTATTGTGAAAGGAAACTGTGAGTAGTTGGAGGTAGGCTGGGAAGAATTTTAATACCAAATTCAATTAATCAATATTTATTTCACTCTCAAGTCCTTTTACATTCGTACACCCCTGTTGTATCACCTTTATATTCTCTTGGGTGTATCAAAGGCAAATTAACTTTAACTTTTTAAAACTGTTTTACCTCCTTTATTATCCATGTGATTTATCTCATAGAGCAACTCTTTTTATTTAAACATTTTTTTAACAACAAATTCACCCCTGCTCACACTTTGTCGATCCTTTTTTTTTTTTTTTTGGCATCATGTCTGTCATATTTCTCCAGAAGACATTAACTGACTCTATTTCCTTTTTTATATTAATTTTAAATTTTTAGGTGTACATAATAGGTATACATATTTATTAGGTACATGAGATATTTTGATACAGGCATATAATGCACAGTAATCACATCACAATAAGTTGGGTTTTCATTATCTCAAGCATTTATTATTTCTTTGTATTACAAGCATTCCAATTATATAATTTAGTTATTTTTAAATATACATTTAATTATCATTGACTATAGTCACCCTGTTGTGCTATCAGATACTAGATCTTATTCAATGTAACTGAATATATTTTTGTAACCATTAATTATCATCACTTCCTTTCATCCACTACCCTTCCAAGCCTCTGATAACCATCCATTTACTGTCTATCTCTATACATTCTATTTCTGTGAAATAGAAAAAAATGTATTTTTCTATGTGTTTTGATAGTGACTAGATTGAATCTGTAGACTGCTTTGGGTAGTATGAACATTTTAACAATATTGATTCTTCCAATCCATGGACATGGCATATCTTTTCATTTTTTAAGTTCTCTTCAATTTTCTTCATCAGCGTTTTATAGTTTTTTTTGTAGAGATATTTTAGTTCTTTGGTTAATTTTTTTCGTAAGTAGTTAATTTTCTGTGCTTTAAGATTTTTGTGGAGTCTTTAGGTTTTTATTATAAGATCATAGAATCTGTGCAAACAAGGATAATTTGACTTCTTCCTTTTGAATTTGGATGACCTGTATTTCTTACTTTTGTCTGATTGCCCTAGTTGGGACTTCCAGTACCATGTTAAATAACAGTAGTGAAAGTGGGCATCCTTGTCTTGTTCCAGATCTTAGGTGAAAAGCTTTCAGTTTTTCATCATTCAGTATGATACGATTTGTGGGTCTGTCATATAAGATTTTATTGTATTGAGGTGTGCTTCTTCTATACCAAGTTTTTTCTTAGTTTTTTTTTTTCCATTAAGAGATACTGAGTTTATCAAATGTGTTTTCAGTAATTGACATGATCACATCGTTTTTGTACTTCATTTAGTTGATATGTATCATATTGACTGATTTGCATATATTGAATCATCCTTGCATCCCTGGGACAAATCCAACTTGGTCACGATGAATGACCTTTTTAATGTGTTCTTGAATTCAGTTTGCTAGTATTTTGTTGAGGATTTTTGCATCGGGGTATTGGCCTTTGGTTTTCCGTTTTTTGGTGTGTCTTCCTCAGGTTCTGCTGTAAGTGAATGCTGGCCTTGTAGAATGAGTTTGAAAATGTTTCTTCCTCTATTTTTCAGAATAGTCCGAATAGGAGTGTTATCAATTCTTTTTTAAATGTTTAGTAAAATTTAGCAGTGAAATCATCAAATCTCAGGCTTTTCTTCGCTGGGAAACTTTTTATTACAGCTTTGATCCCATTACTTGTTATTGGTGTGTTCAGGTTTTGGATTTCTTCATGGTTCAATCTTGGTAGGTTGTATGTGTCTAGGAATTTATCCATTTTTTTCTAGGTGGTCCAATGTATTGGGATATAGTACATATATCCCAATATACGTACATATATAGAGCTCATAGTAGTCTCTAATGATGCTTCGAATTTCTATTTTTTCAGTAGTAACGTGTCCTTTCTCATCACTGATTTTATTTATTTCCGTCTTCTCTGTTTTTTCCTTTGTTAGTCTGGCTGAAGGTTTAGCAATTTTGCATATCTTTTCAAAAACTACTTTTCATATTTTTGATCTTTTATGTGTTTTTTTCTATTTCACTTATTTCTGCTTTGATCTTTATTATCACTTTTCTTCTGCTGATTTTCAGTTTGGTTTTTGCTTTTATTCTAGTTATTTAAGATGCATTATTAGGTTGTGTATTTGAAGTTTTCTCTACATATTTATGTAGCCATTTATTGCTCTAAGCTTTTCTCTCAGTTCTGCTTTTGATGTATTCTTTTAGTTTTGGTATATTGTGTTTCCAATTTCATTTGTTTTAAGAAAAAAATTTAATTTCCTTCTTAATTTTTTCATTGACCCTCTGGTCATTCAGGGGCAAATTGTTTAACTTTCATGTGCTTATGCAGTTTCTGGAGTTCCTCTTGTTACTCATTTCTAGTTTTATTCCATTGTGGTCAGAGAAAATACTCGATATGAATTTACTTTTTAGTATTTCTTTAAACTCATAGTGTGGTTTAACATATGGTCTATCCCTGAGAATAATCCATGTGCTTAGGAGATGTGTATTCAGCATTTGTTAGATGAAATGATCTGTAAATATCTATGAGGTCCATTTGGTCTATAGGAGAGATTGCTTCTGATGTTCCTTTGTTTATTTTCTGTCTAGATAATCTGTCCAATGCTGTCTAAGTGGGGTGTCGAGTTCTCCAGCTGTTATTGTATTAGGATCTCTCTCTCTCTCTCTCTCTCTCTCTCTAGTTCTAATATTTTCTTTTTATATCTAAGTGGTCCAAGGTAGGGTGCCTATATACTTAAAATTATTATATTATCTTGCTAACTTGTCCTCTTTGCCATTCTATAATGACCTTCTTTGTCTCTTTTAATAGTTGGTGTTTTAAAATGTATTTTGTCTAATATAAGTGTACCTACTCCTACTCTTTTTAGATTTCTGTTTTTAGATATTCTCTTTTTAGAGAATATTACTTCATCTACATTCATTATTACTGTTGATAATTAAGTACTTACTGTTACCATTTTGTTGCTTTGTTTTCTGGTTATTTTGTGGTCTTCTCTTCCCTCCCTCCCTCCCTCCCTCCTTCCTTCCTTTCCTTTTGTGAAGTTAATATTCTCTGGTGGTAGGTTTTAATTTCTTGCTTTTATTGGTGTGTGTATCTGTGGTAGATTTTTTAAATTTGAAATAACCATAAAGCTTGCAAATAATATCTTGTAACCCATTATTTTAAACTGATGACAACTTAACTCTGAGTGCAAAAACTAATAAACAAGCAAAGAGAAAGCGAATGCAAACTTGACACTTCATGCACCCTCTTTTTAACTTTTTAACTTTTTGTTGTTTCCATTTATATTATATTACCCTATGTATGTCCTGAAAAGTTGTTTTTGTTAATATTTTTGATGGATTCCTTTTAGTCTTTCCACTCAAGACATGAGTAGTTTACACACCAAAATGACAGTATTATAATATTCTGTGTTTTTCTGTGTACTTATCTGTGTACCTTCAGATGATTTCTTATTGCCCATTAATATGTTTTTCTGTCAGGTGAAGAACTTCCTTTAGCATTTCTTGCAGGATATGTCTGGTGTTGATGAAATCCCTCAGCTTTTGATTGTCTGGGAATGTATTTATTTTTCCATCATGTTTGAAGGATATTTTCAGACTTACTACTCTAGGATAAAAGTCTTTTTGCTTCAGGACTTTAAATATGTCATTCCATTCCCCAGTGGCCTATAAGGTTTCTACCAAGAAGTCTGCTGCCAGATGTATTGGGGCTCTTTTATATGCTATTTGTTTCTTTTTGCTTGCTAACTTTAGCATTCTTCATTTATTCTTGACCACTGGGAGTTTGATTATTAAATACCTGGTATAGTCTTATTTGGGTTAAATCTGCTAGGTTTTCTATAACCTTCTTATATTTGAATATTGATGTCTTTCTCTAGATTTGGAAAGTTCTCTGTTATTATCCCTTTGAATAAACTTTATTCCCAATCCCTAGTTACCCCCTCTTTAAGGCCAATACATTTTAAATTTACCCTTTTGTGAATATTTTCCAAATTGTGTAGGCATGTCCCCTTCTTTTTTTAATTCTTTGATCTTTTATATCCTCTGACTGTATTTTTGAATAGCCTGTCTTCATGTTTACTAATTATTTCTTCTGCTGGTAAGAGAATCTGATGCATTTCTCAGTATGTCAATTTCATTCTTCTACTCCAGAATTTCTGGTTGATTATTTGTAATTATTTCAATCTTTCTGTTACATTATCGAATAAGATTGTGCATTATTTCTTTGTGTTATCTTGAATTTCTCTGAGCTTCCTGAAAACAATTACTTTGAATTATCTGTCTGAAAAATCACATATCTCTGTCTCTCCAGTATTGGTCCCAGTTACCTTATTGAGTTCATTGAATTTATGTTTTTCTGGATAGTCTCAATGGTTGTGGATGCTTTTTGGTATCTCAGCATAGAAGGGATAAGTATTAGAGTCTTTGCATTCTGGGCTTGTTTATAACCATCCTTCTTGGGAAGGCTTTCCAGGTATTTGAAGGGACTTTGGTGTTGTAATCTGAGTTTTTGGTCACTGCAGCCATGTCTGCATTAGGGTATACCCCAAGCCCAGTAATGCTGTGACTTGCAGACTCTTGGAGGTACCACCCTGGTGGTCTTGGGTAAGATCCAGGAGAATTCTTTGTATTAGCAGGCAGAGACTCTTCTTTTGCTTCCCTTACTTTCCCCTTAATGAATGGAATCTCTCTTTGTGCTGAGCTACCTGGTTCCTGGGGAGGGTCACATAAGTACTCTATGGCTACCATGACTAGGATGGTGCTGGGTTAGACCCAAAGCCATCACATCACTCAATCTTGCCCAAGGCCTGGGGTGACCACTTCCTTGCTACTGCTGATGTTCACTCAAGGCACAAGGGCTCTACAGTCAGCAGGTAGTGAATTTGGCCAGGCTTTTTTTCTTCCCTTCAGTGTCTTTAGCTCTCCCTTGGCTTAGAGAAGGTCCAGAGATGCTGTTTGAGAGCCAGGTCCTGGAGTCAAGAACCTTAGGAATCTACATGCTGCTTTATTCTTCTATGGCTCAGCTGGCATCTAAGCTGCAATACGAAGTTCTTCCCACTCTTCTCCTTTTCTCAAGCATAAGGAGTCTCTGGGGCTACCACCTGCCCAGGCCTGCAGCAAGTACTGCCTGGCTACTCCTGATGTTCGCTCAAGACCCCACAGCTCTTCTATCAGTTTCTGGTGAAAGTTGCCAGGCCTGGCTCTCTCCCTTAAGGGCAGTAGGCTTCCTGCCTGGCCCAGGACAGGTCCAGAAATGCCATTCATGAGCCAAGGTCTGGAATCAGGGACCCCAGAAACACACTTGGCACTCTACCTCACTGTGGCTGAGCTGCTACCCAGACTGCAAGAAAAAGTCTTCTATACTCTTCCCTCTCTTTTCCTCAGTCAGTCCCTCAGTCCCACTGATGGAAATATGGTGGGTCATACCTGAAACCAGCACAGCACTGGGTCTCATTAAAGACCACAGGGAGTTCTGTCAGACTAACACTAATATTTATTCAAGGCTCAAGAAGCCTTTAGTCAGAAGGCGGTGAATCCAGCCATGACTGGATCTTTCCTTTCAAAGGCAGTGGGTTCTGTTCTGGACCAGAGGGGGTCAAGAAATGTTGCCCAGGAACTAGGGCCTGAAATGGGGGTTGTGGGTAGCCTCAGAACTCTGCCTGGTGCTCTATTCTACTCTGGCTGAGGAGGTATTCAAGTTGCAAGACAAAGTCCTCTTTACTCTTCTCTCTTGTCCCCTCAAGTGGAAGTAAAAAGTCTCTCCTGGAGCTGAGAACTGTGCTGCCTGGGTTTTTTGGGAGCTGGGACGCAAGTACTCCTTTGGCCACTCCAGCTGTCTCACTAGATCACAGGCACCCTATGTCCATGTCCCCTGGCCCCAAGTCTAGCACAACACCAGGACTTGCCCAGGAATTTCAGTCCTTGTGGCCTAGACTCCCTTTCAAGTTTATTTAAAATGCCAGAGCACTTAAGCAGAAAGGAATACTCCATCCCAGTGGTCAGAACCTTAGTTGCTAGCCAGAACTCAGGTTCTGATCACTGGGGTGGAGTATTCCCCTTTGCTAGGGCTGTTCTACAACCCTCCCTCCATGGGCACTGCCTGAATTCTGCCCTGTGTTGCTTTCTGCTGTGACAGTGCAGCACTGAGTACCAATGCAAAGTCCCACAATCACCGTGCTTCCCCTCCCTCAGGCACACAGATTCTATCTCCATGCCATGAGGCTCTTGCCAGGAGAGGTGGAAGGAGTAGGGTTGGCAATTCAAGATTGTCTTTGCTACTCTTTTCAGTGTCTCTTTAATATGATGTTAAAACCAGATACTGTTCACTCATCTGACTTTTAGTTCCTATAAAGGTGCTTTCTTGAGTTCATAGTTGTTTAAGTTGGTGTTTTTGCAGGGGGAGGCAATTGCTGGAGAGTTCTACTTGGCCACCTTGATCCACCTCCTCCTGTATTTTAGTGTTTAACAAGCACAGTTCTTAAGGAACTATTGTAATTGCCTGTTTCCCTGTCTCAGCAATTCTACTCCCAGGCATTTACCCTAGAGAAATGAAAGCATATGTATTCACAGAAAGATTAGCATTTAAGTATGCCATATTATTTATTCATAATAACCAAATTTGCATCAAATTTTCTACCCATATGATAGAAAAATATTTAGCTATATAAAGGAAAAAAAGATATTCAGGCATAATGAACATCTATGAAAAGCCTAAGATTTTACCGTACTCTCATGCTAACAAGTCAGTATGTAACAGTCTTGAATGATAGTAAAAGAAATGTGAATTCTTGTTCAAAAAAATGAATTTTTTACTCATGGCACAGAAAGCAGCATATGCACCAGAATACAATCATATCTCAGTATCAGTGAGGGATTGGTTCCAGGACCTATGCAGATACCAAAATTTGTTGATGCTCAAATCTTTAAAATAAAATGATGTAGTGTTTTCATATAATCTATGCACATCTTCCTGAAAAGATATTATTTCTATATTACTTATACATATTATATATGTATTTGTGAGTATATATGCAATTATACATATATTTTGTAATTATATATGTGTATGTATAAATATAACTACATATAAATGCATGCTATATATATACATGAATATATAATTACAAAATTTCAACAAGATTGTGAGGTAGCTTTATCATCCATTTTAATGCCTCTGAGAAAACAGAGCTAATTCACTTTTCTGTGTCTAGCCATATAATCAGTATAGAGCACAAATTTTAATTCAAGAATACTTGACTCAAAGCTATGCTTATTCCACTATGGTGCATGTCTCTAATTGATGTATTATAATTAAATGATGTAAACATTCACAAGATAAATGGGTCAGTATCATATTTTAAACAGAAAACTTGTTTTCTAACTTCTTTTCCTCTGAAGGTGTTTTTATGCCAAGAATATACATAACAATATCATACATTCTAAAAAGTTATTAAGCCTGTAGTTATGATGAATTCAAATTAATTAAGTTAAAATATAATTATGATGTTGAAAGATGGTATCTGTAACCTAAGCCAGTACTAATATGTGGTTACCAAAGAGTTCAAATGTGTTATTCACATTGAATTAGACAAAAACATAGATTTATAAAATTATTTAATATATTTAAGGTGTAAAACACTCTGGGTTTTGAAAGGATTATTAATACTAAAGCCATTTATTTATTTCTCAAATTATCTATATAAGATTTATACATCCATGAGTGAAGGAATACATTCATATATCCAAAAGTATATGAGAGTAACTGTAAAAACATTTACTATTTTTAAATAGAACTAAATTAATGCTTTTTTACCTTGACATCTATTACATCAGCAGACTTTCTTTTCCATCTGCTTAAAACACTATTTAGTGCTATAAATCCAGCGGCATCCAAAAACACAAGCTCACATATAACATTCTATTTATGCAAATAGTGCATCTGCTGCTATATGAGAAGGCCAAATATGATTTTTAACTAGATTCAGACACCCCTAATGCTGTAAATATTAAATTGATTATAAGAAAATTCTATTAGAAATATTTAAAACATTAAAATGTTCATTGCAATATCACTATGTACAACCGGTACCTGGAATCACTTTAAGTTTCCTAGGATATTTGGATGTCAAATTCTATTTTCAACTACCAATGCCCATTGTCCCTAGAGAAGAAAAGTTCCTCTGCATTTTAAAGAGTATAATTACTATGATTCCACAAACTATTTTATAATGTTATCATATTAACAATTTCTTTTCTGCTTATTATTCAAATCTTTCCAGTATTCATCTGTATAAGAGAGTTAAAGCAAGGGTAATACAGCACAACAATTTTCTTATATTTAAATATTTCATAGAATCAAAAAATCAGGAAAATTTTGGTCGCACACTCATGCTTTTAATTGCTTCATAATTTGTATAACTTAAATAAAAATAATGCTTTATGGCACTATTAGAAAAGTGCTTATATACCATGAGTGAACTCCCATTCACCATTGCTACAAAGAGTATAAAATACCTAGGAATACAGCTTACAAGGGATGTGAAGGGCCTCTTCAAGGAGAACTACAAACTACTGCTCAAGGAAACAAGAGAGGATACAAACAAATGGAAAAAGAAAATTCCATGCTCATGGATAGGAAGAATCAATATAGTGAAAATGGCCATACTGCCCAAAGTAATTTATAGATTCAATGCTATCCCCATCAAGCTACCATTGACTTTCTTCACAGAATTGGAAAAATAACTACTTCAAATTTCATATGAAACCAACAAAGAGCCCAGATAGCCAAGATAATCCTAAGCAAAAATAAATAAATAAATAAAGCTGGAGGCATCATGCCACCTGACTTCAAACTATACTTATCTTTAGGAAGGGATTCATATTTTACTCTCAAGATTCCTCTGAGCCTATTTATTACAATTGTTCTTTACCTAAGGGTATAAACACTTGTATCAATATCAGGGACCAGCTTTTCACTATAGTCTGTTGGAATGAGGTAAGGGGAGAGGATGTAATTAGAAGGATCTCTGACAGGGGGTTCTTCTCTCACCTCTCATTAGGGTGCACTGACATATATTCTCTCCAATGTTTCACACCACTGACAAAACAGAAAAATATACAACAACAAAAAGAGATGAACACCCGGCACTCTGCAACTCCTTCTCAAAATTATAATTTTTAAATTTTTATTTATGTGTTTTTTTGTATTAATGCACTTCATGTTTCCAAACTTAAAATTTGCAAAATAATATATTGTGAAAATCTAGCTCCAGTCATTGTACCCCTTATTATCAGTCCTATATGTAAATGCAAATTATAACATAGAGTATTTGAAGAACGTTTTGAGACTATTTTATGCACATTCAAGCCAACACATATACTCCCTTTTCCAGCTTAAACACCAATGGTGGTATATTATTAACAATGTTAGGTACTTTGATTTTTAATATATCTCTTTACATCTTTTATGTCTGCATATCTTAGTGACCAATTCATATCAATATGAAAACATCCCTTATTATTTCAGCTACAAAGATGTTTTATGGTTATATAATAATAATTTACTCTGTCTTCTATAGATGAACATCTTGTTTCAACATCATTTTGCTATCAGAAACAATGATACAGTCAAGGATGGTGCAAAAAATAGCCCTGCATATATTATTATATACCTGCAAATCTACCCATAGGTTCTATTCCTTGAATGAGGATTTCTAGGTCAAAAAATTGTATGATGGCATCTTGGAAAAATATAACTATAAATAAATGATTTACAGATAATCAATTACTTAATTACTATATCAACCCCTAGAATTTTAGCTCTGTAACTTTGTCTTCTTTGATAAAATGTAGTGCTACTCCAGTGTGTAGCATCATATAATTATTGCTGTTATTGAATAAGTGAACTTGATGGACCTTATAAAATGCCATATTGTACATATATATGTATATATACATATACATGTATGTAATATTTTGAATATATATTTTAATGTTCTACATTTTAAATGTGGAAACCTTACTGCAATATAATTCCCTTTACCCTTTCCAATTTATGCTATAGTTTTCTTATATATTACATCTATATTATATAGAAAATCCTGTCAGACATACATATATAATAAATATTGCTTAAATATTTACAGTTGCTTTTCCTTCCTTCTTTATATTTTTGTGTACTAGGTTTCCTTCTGGTATTACTTATCTTCTGTCTGAAGAATTTACTTTATTCTCTAGCAATAATTTCATAGCCTATGTGCTGACTATGAATTCTCTTAGTCTTATGAATTTTTCTTCTCTGAAAATACCTTTATTACACCTTTATTTCTGAGAGATATTTACTGTGTCTATAGAATTTAGCACCGAGAATTCTTTACTTTCAGTATTTTAAATATTTTGTGTGGGTTCCTTCTTATACTACTTGGCTTCTGATGAGAAATCTCTCATTGTTTCAATTACTGTTAGCCTGTAGTAATGTATTGTTTCTGTCTCTGCTGCTCACCCACTGCCAGTGGAATTCTAGGGTCTGAGGCATGTGAGAAAAGAAAAACGTACAAGACATAACAAATTTAAAAATACAGGAAAATTTGCCCATTTACTCTGAGCTTTAGGCATTCAGTTCCCTGTTGCTTTAGGCAGAAGTAGAAGGCATCTCTTGGAGCTTTCTATCTGTACCAAGCTTTGCTATCCAAGGTCTCCAACTAAGCTAAGTTCATGTGGAGGACTAGAGTGGTTAGAGAGGAAAATAAAAAATAAGCAGATTAGTGGCACTTTGAGTTTTGGTGCCTTCTCTTGTCCAGCAGCTTCTTTACTTTTCAAAATCCTCAAATACCCTCCCCATTCATTCCGTCCATAGATGATTGTTACATTCAGTGGGAGAGGCAGGGCTCTGTATGGCGCCTCCATATCACCTGGATGGAATCCTAGAGAAATGTCTTACGATTTCATTTAGCATTAGAGAAATAAAGGCTATACAGAAACAATGTAAGTGGGCAGCAGAGACGAAGAAAAAATAATGTTTCTGTTTCTATCTCATAATATATTCTATATTTAAAATAATATTCATAGAGTATGTTCAATATATCAAATGTCCTATTTTATATTTGTAATCATAAGCCATGCATCTCACATCTTGTAAATAGCTGGTTTTTTTTTTGAACCAGCCTTTATCTCAACCAACAGAAATTAATTTGAAACTTGATTCTGTCATCCAAGCTACCGTAATGAACTCTGGAGATGATTCGATCAGTGTATCTTTGGTTTGTATACCAGGGTCATAGTAAAAAAAAAAAAAAAAAAAAAAAAATTGAGTTAACAAAAACATGATGTGTTGGCATACGTTCATATGTTTGGGGCAATTTGTAAGAATATTAGGTCTAACAATGCTTTTGAGTTAAATAACTGAAATAAGATATGTAACTAAAACCCCATAGCAGTGTTTTCCTACACTGACTGATGCTCAAACGGCAGTTTTAAAATCAGACTCATTATGGTCCCTTTCATGCAAGAAGTTAATTTTCTGTGAGACTCATATAATAATCACTCTGAAATACTGTAGTCATTGTATTATAAAGTTGTGAAAAATTTGAGATCGCTTTCCTATAAAATTTAGGAATGCTAAATTTTCCTTTATATTATTTATAGGACATTTTCTATAGCAAAATTACAGTCATTTGAACAGTTGATACTTTCAGAAAACAAAATTAACCATTTAAAATAATTTTATAGCTAGAATCCAAAGTATACAATTTTATTATTTGCATTGTAATAAAAATGTTATCAATGCAATCTATTAATAAATTTTATTTATGTTAGAAGCCTGACATTTACATCTAATTGTGAGTAACTGATTAATATTTTGTACTTATAATGAAGTTTTAGAAGCAATTATTGAAAGAATAAGCAAGATGTGCTAACTTTGCCAAAATGCCAGTTTATAGAACTGCTTTGTGGGAAAACCACTATTAACGCTTGAACATTCTTAATGCCTTAGGGCTCTCATCATTTGCTAAGACATGATCAACAGCTATGCTGGGCTGCCTTGGCCTCTGTCTCTGCCAACTCATGAATATGTCTTTCAAAAAGTGCCATAAACAGAACAGAGTATAAGCTGCTTCTGTTTTCTGAGCCTTCTGTCAGGAATTTAAAAGTGCTCTTGGTTGGGAAGAGAAAGTTAAATAGAAGCCAAATAGAAAATGGTGAGCCTTATCAGGAAAACAGTATTTAGATGATACTCAACTCTAAATCATCTTAACATCATAATAAAAAATGCAATCTCTAGTTGAAAATATTTTGATATCTAAAATATATGTCATTGGGACCTACTATTCAAAGTGCTCTAAATTTTGTGAGAAAGTATCTGTTAATCTTCGGCTTCATCAAAATAGTGTTACACATAGCTGGTTTCCTGGATTTGTTAAGGTTTACTCTCACAGTTTTTAAACACCTGAGTTTCTTATTTTTTACTTTTTAAATATTTAAGGGAGAACAAAGTTAATTTTCAACATAAGAATATAGTGATATGCATTTGTTTGTTTATTTTTAATGCAAGATGCCACTGAAAGTTACAATATAGAACCACAGTATAGTAATTTGCAAAAATTGCCCCAAATTCATCCTTTCTTTGTGCCCACCTCCTTTGTTGTTGTATCATTTAACCATGTGATTTCATTTAGAGCACTGAAATATTAGCCAATTCGATCTCGTGACTTGTTTGCTGCTAGCTTTAGGAAATGTAATAGGCTACATTTGAGAAGCAAATGTAGGCTTACCTTGGAGAAGCATCTCTCAGTCTTCAAGGAAAGACTTCCTGTACAACTTCAGGTAGTGCAGTTAGCAAACAATCTAAAGCTATCAGCTCCTTCAGAGCCTGCCTCAGCTGCAGTGATTCATGCTGCTGGAGGTGAACCCTTTTGGATAGTCTACTTACCTTAGAGATCCTAATAGACTGGAGCAAGGATTTGTTGGTACTGTTTCAAAGTTTGCCTTCTCCCTCTTTCCAAATGTGTTTTTATTTTTTGTGCTCTTTTTTTTAATAGAAGATAGCAACAAATAAATAATTTGCACCCTACAACCCATGTGTGAATTTAATTCTGGAAAACCCAATCTGAGACAGGGACATCCATCACCATGTGAAAAAGCCTGGGATAGTCTGCTGGAAGAAAATGTAACTTGCAGAGAATAGGTAAGCTGTAGCAGCTGTGGCCACCTCGGACCAGCCAAATCTAAGCCAGCTGGATAACTTAAAGACATGAGTGAGCCTGGCTGAAATGAGCAGGAGAGTCACGCAGCTGAACCCAACCCAAACTGATAATCCATGATTTTTTATTGGATTCATGCTTAAACCAGCTAGTTTTGTTTAGCACAGAGTTTCAGAAAATTTATTTAAAAACTTTGATATCTAAAACTGAAGGACTACTGTGAAAAACAAAAACTTGAAACATGCAGCCTTGACTAAAAAGTTGATGTAGCAAGAGGGCCAACAGCTTGGACTAAAGGGGTCCAAGTTAACTCAAACTGTGAGAAGGTCTCCGGACCCCCAAATGTTTACAAGCAGAAAGCACACTGACAAAACTATTTAGCAGCATTATAAACCATTTCTTAGGAAAAATAAAGGAAGTCTTGCAAAAGAGTTAATAAATCAGAGGGCAGAGCCAAGAGGCTCAAAGAATGGTGAGAGAAGCCCCTTCCAGTGAGCAAAATAAAAGCCTAATGAAAATGTATTATTTTTCCCCAGAACAGATAAACCTTGCAGTGTACCCAGTTGGATTTCAGAACATTGAAGAGCAGCAGCTTTTATGGGAATAAGAGTGTCCCTTACAGGTAATCTCCTCGACATTTATATTGGGTGAGTCACAGTCAGAAAATATCTTAGTTTGTAACTTTGAGGATGAAGAGTAGGTGTATTCAAGGAGCTACCTTCTTGAACACAATTGAAGGTCATGAAATTCTGAACTTCAAGGTTGATACCATGATTTCATGAGACTTTTGAAAGTCCTAGGATGGCAATGAGAATATCTTTTATGTGGAAAAATTGTGGGTAATTTGTGGCCAGAGGTTGGACTGTGGTAGATTCGAAAAGTGGTTGCAAAAGTTTTCCATTCTTGTTTCATGTCCTTCAGTCATGACTTCTCCTAGTGACTTTAAGATTATCGATGTGATTTGCTTTGCCTATGAGGCAATAAGCAAATGTGACACAAGCAGAGGCTTAAAAATGCGTATGCTTTAGGAGAGGTTAGCTGTTGCTCTTGGGAAACACAGAACCATATAAAGCTGCTAACCTTCTGGCAGATGAGAATCATCACGGAGCAGAGATGAGGCTAAACAGCTGAGGCTTCTCTAAAAAACAAAACAAACAAACAAACAAACAAAAGCAGTGCACTTCTCAGGTGATTGGCATCGGATAGCAGAAGCATCGGTGAGTCAGCTGAGGTACATAGAAGAAATGCCTACCTGAGCCAACCCAAATTGCCAACCCACAAAAATCTGAAACCAAATAAATTGTTTAAAACTACTAGGTTTGAGAGTATTTTGTTACAAAGCAGGTTAACCAAGGCAATTAAATGTAAAAGGTATACTAAATGAATAATTTTATAAACATTAAGCCATAATGACATCAAATTGATTTTGAAGTTCATTAATGCATACAGTCCTCAAACTGCTTTATTCATTGTATACTGTAATGTTTCACATTTAATTTCTGTATCTATTCCACTAAAGTTTAGTTTTTACTTGAGAAGACAAAAATATTATTATAGGAAATTTTATATCATACTCATAATTTGATTTGTGAAAATAAATAAAATTCAAATAATGTTGATTTCTGTTAATGATGCTGATTGCTTATTAGATCCTACACATATAAGTGAATCATTTGCCCATAAATATTATAGATTATTATCATAACAAGTATTGAATAACCTATACTTCTCATTTTGAAGAAGTGTATTCTATCTTTAATCAGTTGTGCCTAAATTTAAATGTGTATACATTTAAGAATTTTATCAAAAAATGTCTTTAAAAAATCAAAAACATCATCAAACTGCCAAAAATAGAAAAGCTGGGGTAGAGAAGTGAAACTATTGCTCAGTGATACAGTCCCTTTTTGTGCCAGCAACAGCTGGGCAATCAACTTTCATTTATAACTATCTACCGTAAGCAGCTTGCCCGTGGCCAAGTCAATCATTATAGAATCTAATGGTACATCAATTTTCTTCCAAGATTTAATTTGGCACACAGGGTTTTGAAAAAGAAGACTATCATAAAATATTGCTACAACTCCAGAATCTAATATCTTACTTGTGTTTTGACCCCATTAGATAAAATAAATTGAAATCCTTTCATTAATGTGTTAACAGAGTCATTTTAAAATTGAATTTTCATAGTGATCTCCTTGAAATTGCTTATAAAGAACTAAGTTATGTTGCTAAGGTTCTTATGCAAATTTTAAACAGATAATATACCTTTTTGTCTCACAACCATAACACATCAATGCAAGGTTCTGTGTTAACCAATTTCTTACCAACAAAATAATTTTTAATTTGATTGTTCTTGGTTTGAAGATTTGCTACTTCTCTTGTTTAATTTGTGCAGAATAAATTTTATTAGAGTCTTTTACAGATATCTTATGACAGTAGGGAGTACATGTGATCATATTTTATAAATATTTTCAAGTTGGTATCATGCCTAAATATCCTAAGTAGTGATTTGTGAATAATGGCAAATTAAAATGAATTAATGAGAAGTTTGTTAAAAATGCAGATGCTCAAAAGATTATATTGCTAGCAGTGTACGGCTAAGTAGAAGTTAAGTGTTCCAGGATTTGTGAACCATCATTTTAAGGACTGAACTGATGATGAAATCACTTAAGTGAATATATTAGCTACTATACAAAAGAAAAAATAAAAAAAGTACTTTTTAGATAACAGATAACAGCAAAATGAAGCATATTGCAATAATACTTTATCTATAATTCTGGAAACATAATTTTTAGTTCTTAGGAATCATAGGAATTAGGATATAATAAACATAAAAATGAGCTCAAAGATACAAGTCCAAAATACAAATTTTTGTTCTTTTCCTCCTTCCCTATATGAATCAGAATTTGAGGAGGTGTCATAGAAATCTGGATTTTTAGCAAGCCCAGAAGTTAATTGTATAAATGGTTCTCAAAGCAGTACCATTTTGCTGATGTACTTACCATTGCTTACTAATCCCCACTCTTTGACAGGCATTGCATTCAAGTGCCTTTCAATTTTGTTTATTTAACTGCTTAAAACTATTATGTTGTAGATATTCTTGCGCCTATGTTACAAGGGTAAGAAAATGATTAAATAATCATCTAAAGTCAAAAAAATAATAAAAATAAAGCCAGGAAGCAACTCAGATCTGTCTGACTTCAAAATATGGATATGTTTAATTATTTTTATATAAATACCACAATATTTTATTTGATTTTTTGTGTCTCAGTCAAAAACGCAAACTATCATAACCAAATTTAGTAAAATTATTTAAACTTTGAGTGTAGATATTTAGATATCTATATATGTAGATATTTAGAACTAGATGTATGAAGAAACATTAATAATAGATCACTAAAAGAAATAGTTATATCTAAATTTATATAGATTTAAAGTCAGCTTTAAATACTACCATTTTTCTATAATTCAAATTATATATATGTGTATATACATATATAATAGCATGGAAAAATAAATATTTGCAGTATTAAAAGCATTGTAAGGTAAGTGAAATTACTAACAGATGGGGGTTGGAAATATTCTTATAGAAAAAAATGTTTGCTGGGCGTGGTGGCTCACGCCTGTAATTCCAGCACTTTGGGGGGCCAAGGCAGACAGATCATGAGGTCAGGAGTTTGAGACCAGCCTGTCCAATATGGTGAAACCCCATCTCTACTAAAAATACAAAAATCAGCCAGGTGTGGTGGCGGGTGCCTGTAATCCCCTCTACTTGGGAGGCTGAGGCAGGAGAATTGCTTGAACCCGGGAGGCGGAGGTTGCAGGGAGCTGAGATCACGCCATTGCACTCCAGCCCGGGTGACAAAGCAAGACTCCAACTCAAAAAAAAGAAAAGTTTATGCAATATTTATTACTTTGTTGATGGATTTTTTTTTGTATTGTCTTTTCTTGTAATGTCTTCTCTTGACTTTGGGATCAGGGTAATGCTGGCTTCATAGAAAGTGTTCCCTCCTCTTCTACTTTCTGAAAGAGATTGTAATATATCAGTGTTAACTCTTCCTCGAACATTTGTAAAATTCAAAGTGAACCCATCTTGTCCTGGGCTACTCTGTTGAAAATTTTTTAAGTTATCATTGTTAATACAATGACTTTCATTGATATGGAATTATTCATACTTTCTTTTTTATTCAGTTTTGGTAGGTTGTGTCTTAACCCTTTGCTCATTTTATTGAGATTAATTTTTACTTAAAATTATTCATACTCTTTTTATTTCTATAAGAGCTATAGTAATGTTCTGTCTTTCATCCTTCATTTTAGTAATCTGACTCTTCTCTACTTTTCTCCCACCTAATATAGTTAAAGGTTGTCAATTTTGTTCATCTTTTTAAGAAACAAAGTTTTGGGTTCATTGTTTTTGTCTAATGCTTTTCTATATTCTATTTTATTTATTTCTATTCCAGTCTGTATTATTCCCTTTATTCTGCTCGCTTCAGATTTAGTTTGTTCTGTTTTTAATTTCTTAAGGTGAAACCATTGGTAGTTGATATGATATTTTTCTCATTTTCATTATAATATTTACATCTAATAACAGTGTTCAAAGCTTCCTTGTATAAGTTCTGGCATGTTGTGTTTCATTTTCATTTGTCTCTAAATATTACTTAAACAATCTTGTGATTTATTTTTGAAGTATTAGTTATTTAGGGGGGGATTTTTGAAAATTTTTTGATATTTTTAATTTTCTAAATTTGTTTCTGTTATTGTTTAATGATTTATTTCTACTATAGTTGAAGAACATACTTTACATGATTTGAAAGCTTTTATATTTATTAAGGTTTGTTTATGGCCTAGCTTATGTTCTTTTCTGGAGAATATTTTTGGCATACTTGAGAAGAATGTATATTTTGCTATTATGGGTGAAGTGTTCTATAGTTGCCTGTTAGGCCTCACTGGTTTATACTGTTGTTCAAGTACTCCATTTCATTATTGCTCTTTGGACTTGTTATAATGATTATGGGAAGTAGGACATTGAATTTTTCAACTATTATTTTTGTATTATCTATTTTTGCCCTCTGTTCACTTTTGTTTTATGCATTATGAAACTCTGTTGGTACATGCATGTATTTTTATTTTTAAGGCTTTTTTTTGGGGATGGAGTCTCACTCTGTCACCCAGGCTGGGGTGTAATGGCGTGATCTCGGCTCACTGCAACCTCCACCGCCTGGGTTCAAGCGATTCTCCTGCCTCAGCCTCCCAAGTAGCTGGGATTACAGGCACCTGCCACCACGCCCAGCTAATTTTTATATTTTTTATTAGAAACGGGGTTTCGCCATGTTGGTCAGGCTGGTCTCGAACTCCTCATGTCAGGTTATCCACCTGCATTGGCCTCTCAAAATGCTGGAATTACAGGTGTGAACCACTGCGCCTGGACTAATTTTTAATGGTTCTTAACGTATTAACACTTTTAGCATTATAAAATGATTATTTTGTTTCTAGTTATAATTTTTTACTAATGTTTTACTAATGTTTACTAATGTCTTATCTAACACTGGTGTATTTACTCCAGTTTTCTTTTGTTTACGGTGTGCATACATATATTTCTATTTCAATAGAATTCATCCATTTTATATTATTTATCCATTGACTTTTCACAAACTTGTGTCTTTGAATGTAAAGTGAATATTTTGAAGACAGCATATATTTGGATCAAATTTTTAAATCCATTCTATTAATCTGTGCCTTGTTAATGAGATGTCTAATTGATTGATATTAAATATAATTACTGGAAAGTTTGAAGTTATTTCTGTAATTTAGCAAATGGTTTTCTATTTGTCTCACTTTTGTATACCTCTTTTTTATGATATTCTTTTTTTATAAATTTTTATATATCTTCAAAAGATCTTTTTTTATTTTACTGTATATTATTTTATTTAGTTTTAAATGGTTGATTTGGGGATTATAATTTTCATATTAATTTATAATAATCTAGATTTTCCACCTTTATAATTTACAAAGATATGCTCTATCCTCACCTCAACTTTGTGCTATTATTGATATACAAATTATATCATTATTATGTTGTTTGCTTATTGATACAGGTTTAACATTACTGTTTGCTGTGGTTGTCTTTTAAAATAGATAATAGACAAAATTAAAGCAAAATATTTAAAACCTCTTGTGTATTTATACATGTTACTAATCTTACTGGTAATATTTATTTATGTGCAGTTGAGTTAGTATCTGTTGACCTTTCCTTCCATCCAGAAAGACTCCCTTTAGTATTTTTTTTTTTTTTTGTAGACCTGGTCCTCCAGCCATAAATTCTCTCAATTTTTGCTTATCTGGAAATTTCTCCTTGATTTTTTCAATGTTAGTTTTGCTGGTGATAGAATTTCAGGTTGACAATCTCACCTTGCAGCATTTTGAATATGAGATATCTCTGCTTTCTGAACATTAAAATTTCCAGTGAAACATAAATTGTTAAATTTATTGAAGATTTTTTGTAAATGGAGTGTTGACTCACCACTTACTGCTTTAAAGATTCCAGCTGTCTTTGGCTTTCAACAGTTTTGATATGGCTGCTTGCAGATCCCTTTGACTTTATTTTTCTTGTAGTCCACCGAGCTTCTTAGATGTGTAGATCAATGTTTTTAATTAAATATTGAAGGTTTTCAGCCATTATTTCTTCAAGTAATTTTTCCACCACTTAATCTCCACTCCTAGGACTCCTGTTATATGTTTATTGGTATACTTGCGGGTGAGCACAGGTTTCTGAGATCTCTTCATTTCCTATAATTTTGTTTGCTTTATAAACTGGATTATTTTAATTAATCTCTCTTCAAATTTACGGATTGATTCTTCTACCAGCTCAAATCTGCTATCAAAATCTCTAATATTCTCTATTTCTCTTTTTATACTTTTCAAATAAAAACTTTCCATTCAGATTTTTAATAATCTATATCTTTTTATTAATATTTTATATTTGGGCAGACATACTTCTCATATTTTCCTTTACTTGTTTAGACTAAGCTTAATTGTTTTATACTATTGTTTTCTTTCCTTCTTTGAAAATATTTAGAATATTAAAATTATTATCTAAATAAAATCATTGTCCAGCAAATCAATCCACTGGGCTTCTTTGGAAACTATTTCTATTGATTGTTTTTGTTACTGCGTATTATCCATACTTACTTGTTACTTTGTATGTTTTACATTTTGTTGTTAAAAATGGACATTTTAAATAATATAGTGTGGCATCTCAGGAAATAGGATTCTCTTTATGTCACCAGAATCTGGTTTTGTAGATGATTATTACTGTCATTTGCCAATATTTTGGTTAGTAATTTTTCTCAACTGTCTTTTTATGTCTGTGGTTTCTGTCCTTTGCGGCCACTGAAGACTCCATCAACTAGCTTAGTAACCAGCTAATGATGGATCAAGATATCTTTAAAAAACTGGAACTAATATAATCATACCTGATTTTATTTCACTTCACTTTATTGCATTTTGCAGATATTGTGTTTTTAAAAATTAAAGGTTTATAGCAAATTTGAGTCAAGCAAGTGTATCAGTGCCATTTTCCCAAAAGCATATGCTAACTTCATGTCTCTATGTGGCATTTTGCTAATTTTCACAATATTTCTAACTTTTTAATCACTACTCTATTTTTTAAGTGGTCTGTGATCAGTGATGATCACAGGTGAGATCACTAGGTGAGATCATTAATGAACGTGGCTATACTAAATAACACATTTTCTTTATTTATTTATTATTATTATTATTTGAGACGGAGTCTTGCTCTGTTGCCAGGCTGGAGTACAGTGGTGGGATCTCGACTCACTGCAACCTCCGCCTCCCAGATTCAAGCGATTCCCCTATTCCCCTGCCTCAGCCTACCTAGTAGCTGGGACTACAGGCGCACCACCACACCCAGCTAATTTTTTGTATTTTAGTAGAGACGGGGTTTCACCATGTTGGCCAGGATGGTCTCAATCTCCTGACCTCATGATGTGCCCACCTCGGCCTCCCAAACAACAGATTTTCATTATAGATAAAACAGTCTGGAAGAAGATGCCATGTAGAACTTTCATACCTAAAGAAGAGAAGCCAATGCCTGGCTTCAAAGTTCCAAAGTACAGGCTGACTATTTTATTAGAGAATAATGCACCTGCTGACTTTAAGTTGAAGCCAGTGCTCATTTACCATTTTGGAAATCCTAGGTCTCTTAAGAATTATGCTAAATCTACTTAGCCTGTGCTCTATAAAAGGAGCAACAAAGCCTGAATGACAGCATATCGGTTTACAGCACGATTTACTTAATATTTAAAACCCACTGTTGAGACAACACTCAGAAAAATTATTGTTTTCAAAATATTATTTCTTATGGACAATGTACCTGATCACCCAAGAGCTCTGATGGAGATGTATAAGGAGACTAATGATGTTTTTATTCCTGCTAACGCAACATTTGCACTGCAGCCCCTGAATCAAAGAGTAATTTTGCCTTTGAAGTCTTACGATTTAATAAACACATTTCATAAGTCTGTAGCTGCCAGAGATTCCTCTGGTGGGACTGAGCAAAGTAAGTTGAAAACCTTCTGGAAAGAATTCACCATTCTAGAGGCAATTAAGAACATTCATGATTTATGTGAAGAGGCCAAATATCAACATTAACAGGAGTTTGGAAGAATTTTAGCTTTCATGGTTGATGTAAAAGTTTAAAGACTTCAGTGGAAAAACAACTACAGATATGGTGGCAATGGCAAGATACATAAGACAAGAAGAGGAGCCTAAATATGTGAGTGCATTGCTATAATCTTATGAAAAATTGCAACAGATGAAGAGTTGTTTCTTATGGATGAGAAAAGAAAGCAGTTTCTTGAAATAGAATTTATTTCCGGAGATGATGCTGTGAACAATGTTGAAATGACAACAAAGGATTTTGAATATTTTATGAACTTAGTCGATAAAGCAGCAGCAGTACGTTTTGAGAGGACTGGAGTCAGTCCTCTCAAAAGTTCTACTGTAGGTAAAATGCTATCTCACAGCATCACAAGCTTCAGAGAAATATTTATGAAAGAAAAATCACTGGCTATGGCAAACTTCGATGTTGTCTTATTTTAAGAAATTGCCACAGCCACCCCAACTGTTAGCAACTACTACCCTAATCTAGTCACCAGCCATAAACATTAAAGCAAGACCTTTCACCAACAAAAGAATTATAACTCACTGAAGGCTCAGATCATCATTAGCATTTTTCAGCAATACATCACTTATTAATTAAGGTATGTTCATTTTTAGACATAACACCATTGCACACTTAATAAACTGCAGTAGAGTGTAAACTTAACTTTTTTTATGAACTAAGAAGCTTGAGAATTTGTGTGACTTGATTTATTGCTGTATTTGCTTTATTGTGGTGGCCTCAAACAGAACCCACTATATCTTTTAAGTATTTCTGTATGTCTCCTATCCTTTTATTATGGTTTCTGTGTGTATGTTGAGGCACATGACCAGTGTTTAGGCAGGAAGTTTGCAACACTTCTATAACCTTCACTTCTTGCTTACACACCCAGAGGTGAGGTTGGTAAGGAACTTCTCTACTTTTTCTTGCACGTGCACACAATTATGGGCATACGCAAAATCCTTCAACTACAATTGGATTTATGGAGTCCCAAGACTATGTCTAAGCTTTTCAGTTGCTCTTATCATTTTCCAGTTCTTTCTTTCCAGGTTTGTTGTGTTGTTGTTGCTGTTAGTTTGTTTTCCACAACTGTTATTGCTGCCTCAGGCAGCTATGATGTTAAACACCTGTCACTGATTGTCATCAGCAAATATTCCTGGGGAAAAAGCTTCTCTTACTGGATAGTCTCTGAGTGAGGTAAAATAAAGACAAGACTTGTAACTGATGTTTTCCTGAGGAACAGCCACACAGGTCAAATAATGATATTATTTGATAATGGGGATTTGGAGGAGGTCCAACCCCATTCTGTCACTTGCCATGGTTTTTAGGTTGCTAGTTTTTACTACATTTGAGGTTCTGTTGGTTTTCATACCAAACCCATAGCTGTAGAGAAGAGGATGGGAAGAAAGCAATTTAAAATACTGTTAAATGCACAGTTCTTAACAAAATTCAGTTGTTTTCCTTGAATAAATGCTCAACAGATTGTTGCAAGCATTTAATTTCCAGAATTCTGAAAAAGTTGATTTTGACTATTTTTTTGGCCGGTATCCTCATTCACATTTCTTTTTGGAGGATAGAATATTTGATAGTTCTTGCTCTGCTATTCTCTCTCATGTCATCTCTATGGGCCATTTTTGATAGATATATTTAAAATAATGTAATAAATAATCAGATTACAGTCTGATATTTCTATCTACTAATGTAAAAAGGAATGAAAGTGAATCTACAGTGTGATTAATTTATCTGTTGTGATTTTAAAGGCCAAATTTCTGTCACCTAAATTATCAAATTCAATATTTTAATAAATCTATAAATTTATTTACTTATTTAATTTTATTTATTGTATGGACATTAATTGCTCTTGGATATTGGCTATCTTTAGTGATTTTCTGGGCCTGTATAAATGGAAACAGTGATATTCTTGAATGTCTGAGAATAGGTCCTATTCAACTTTGTAGTTTCTACCCAAGCCCCTTGGAATGTTCACTCTCAAGATTTACCTCCTTAAGGTGTTTCCTTTCAAAACATAGCTGCCAACCTATGGAAACTCAAGCCGTATGAAGAAGGCATGTGTAGGTAATTCTCTTTAAAACAGCTGAATTCCTAGCTGTTATTTAGCAAAAATAAACTGTCAGTGATGTCTAGGTGAGTGAGACAACTTGAAAATCTACCCTGGCTGGCATTTAAATGACTGAAGCCTCAATGCCTTCTGCTGCAACCATACGAAAAACTTGAGGCCAAAACTGCTAGCTGAAGCTGTCAATTCTCAGGATCATGAAAGGTAATAATAAATTGTTTTAAGCTGTTGAGTTTGGGGTCTTTATTTTTTTGGCAAAGAATAACAGGAACTCAAATAGACTCTTGTTCTGAATATAATTTTTGTATAGAGGTAGGTTATTTGTACTAATTTATGCATTGCAGTGCTGGCTAATCTCAGAGCATATATTTAAATATTCTAAATCAAATTTTAAACTAAACAATTAAATTACATTGCAAATATATTTTATTGCAAAAATATAAATGTTATCACATTGTAAGGTCAGATCATATTTCTTAAAATTATATTTTTCTGAAGGATTACCAATGATTTGCTTGTATTTAATAACAATAAGTTCACATTTTACCACATATTATAAATCAGTATTTAATTTTTGGGTTTAAAAACCTGTGTATAGGATCTCATATATTAAATATAAGAACCTGAGGATTATTTTTACACCTCATGTTGTAGCAAATGATAAGGATTAAAGAAAAGAACAAATAACCAAGTAACATAAAAATTTCTTATGAAGTGTTTGAAGTGAATATCCAAAGAATAAGAAAGACCTATGACAAAATTTATATAATCTTTTATATTTGAGAAAATAATTAATTGTCTTTACTTTTTTTCCTATCTACCCTTACAATTCTAACTTAGATGTCAAAAGTTTCCTTTAGTCTTATAGTGTATTAGCCACTATTTTTCACATAACAGTAAGAAAGAAAACTAATCTGGTGAAAAAATAGGGACCAAAAGAAAGTAATAAAATTTCAACAATTTATTTGTAGATTTAATATATTATAAATACTTTTTAAATGTGCAAAGCATGTATACAGATTCTTTTAACTTTTTCAATGCTCCCTTATATTTGACAGTGTATTTTTTAAAAAAATAGCAATTGGAAAAATATATTAGTATCCTAGATTTTTAAATCTATTTTTAAGATTTGCCTATGTTTAGACAATGTATATATTTTACATAAAATGTGATCATTATCTTTTTTTTTTTTTTTTTGAGATGGAATCTTACTCTGTCACCCAGTCTGGAGTGCAATGGCACGATCTCGGCTGACTGCAACCTCCACCTCCCGGGTTCAAGTTATTCTCCTGCCTCAGCCTCCCAAGTAGCTGGGATTACAGGCATGCACTACCACGCCTGGCTAATTTTTGTATTTTTAGTATAGACAGGTCTCACCATGTTGGCCAGGTTGGTCTCGAACTCCTGACCTCAAGTGATCCACCCACCTCGGCCTCCCAAAGTGCTGGGATTACAGGCATGAGCCACTACACCCAGCAGACAATTGTATTTTTCAAATAAATTTTCTAATATAATTTTCTAAAGCTAGGTATAAACAAATATACATTGTTTGAAATATTATTGTTATTAATGTCTTAAGGGTCTTTTTTTTCTAATGACTAGATTTGAATAAGTTTCACAATAGTAAAGGATGTTAACAAGACCTTTTAGGTAAGGCCAATTCAATGAACTAATTCAATATACTGTTGTTGTAGATTCTACAACTTGATATACAGTTGGAGTAGATTTGTTATATACTTGAATATGTGTGTCCTATAAGTGTCTGAGATAATTCACTCAGTTGGAAAGAGCTGCATATAGAGAAGTGCTAAAACTGTTAGGTCTGCATAAGGTTAGTGGTTTTTTATTTTAGGAGACTCTGTGATTTATGGCTTGATGTTGGAGTCTCTGGGAAAGGAAGGAAGTTGTACCCAAAAAAGCCTCTGGAAGGTGCTGTAGTCATAATCTTTCTCACAGAACTACCAGGGAGTCCTCTTGAAAAGCAAATTTCTACTGAACTCATCAAAACTTAAAACCTCACCCTTGAAGACTATGTGATTCTCCCACATGATATCCCCATTTTGAGGTGGGTCAACTCAAGACTCAACAACAAGTTTGGAAGTGCCCAAGTTCCTGACTTGTCAAAAAGAAATAGTTCATTTAAGAACACAGCTGACATGCCCTCCACACTACCTTGGCTTTAGATTTAAAAATTGGTATTTATCTTTCCAAAATAAATCTTATTCCCACTCTGCTGTCTAAAGCAACACTGCAGGCTCATTGATGCTTCAGTTCATAAAGGATTCCCTATATAGCTGGTCCTGGCTTTCTGATACTTCAGCTAACCTGGAAACTGAAAATGTCCACTGAGCCCTTGCGGCTATTCAGCTTCAGAGGTAGCAATGCAGAACTGAAAAATTGACATGTTCATTAGTGTAAGTAGGCAAAAATCAAGCTTATTTCCATAACTATTACCAATATTCTCCTTGATCAACTTGTTATATTTTTATTGCCTCTTGTACTCTTGCCAATGACTTAGCTCTTTGGGCTGCTACTTGGAAAACTAAAAACTGGCCGGTTGAATTGGGCTGTGGACTGTAGAACAAATCATGGCTTCTACATTTGAGTTACTAATGTAGATGCCCAGGATAAGGGCAATTCTTTGATGTGAGAACTAGATTGCCACTAGTGCTTTCTAGAACCGTGATCATATCAGACAGTAACAACACATCTACCAATCAAAAAGCTAGGCACATGGTATGAAGACTTTATGATTCTGATGCAGAGACTGCCACTGCACGTCAGACTCGTTATTCCTGTCAAAATTTGCATCATTTTTCTCAACATTAGAGAGACTGTATGGCATGGGCATGCCCTCTCCCCACTCCCTGCTTGCTCCCAGCAGTTTGACTACATCAGAACTTCAACCTCCATTGACGTGTCTCACTCTTGTTGACAATTTGGGGGTTATACTTTTGCTATTCTAGTACAGACAACTGACCTCAGCTTCATTATTGTGGCCCTTAAAGCTAATTTGTTTTACGTGTTTGGCTTTCCAGACAATAGACAACATACTTTGTTGCAAAAGCCACTCAAAAATGGACTAATAGTCAATGTATTCAATGTACCTTCAATGTCCTGTCCATACTGTCCATCCTTCACTGTAATCTGATATTATTGAACATCAAAACAACTTTCTAAAAATTGACTTAAATCATCAATGACATATCTCCTTTAACCCCTCCTGCTCCAAACTCCCTAGAAAGGGAGATTAGTCACTGAATGTATTTGTCCCCAGAAAAGAATTATCCTTTCTGTACCATTCCTGGGTAATGATCAGGACACAAGTAGTGAGGGATTCCATAAGCCTCTTTGGAATTCCTATATTCTTTCCTGAACATCCCTTGGCATAATGATTTTTTTTTTTTTTTTTTTTTTTTTTTTTTGCTCAGGTGGGTCTGCATGGGGAATATAGTGGGTCTCTATAAGATTTATAATAATATTCTTGTTCCACTTGCACCTGACCCTTCCTGCCACAAAGTTTTGGTGCAAATAGGGATCATGAGAATTAATCATTGCCATTAATCATCATGTGTCATTCCAACAATTACAACAGTAAAGTAATTATTAGAATGACAGTAGAGTTGCAATTATTGGAATGACACATGCTGATTAATGGCAGTGAGAGTGGGAAACTCCAGCACTTTAGGTATGAACAACCTAGACACCAGAAAGCACAAAGGGAGAGATGAGCATTTATGATCTCTTTCACAATAGACCCAGGAGCCTTCTTCAAGAAGGAAAAAGCCCTGGCGAGCTCTCCAAAACTATCATAAAAATCTTAAATTGAACTGACTCTTGGACTTGCCATCACCCCATCCCTAAACAACTTCCTCTAAAAATAAGGACTGAGCTCAATTATTTGAAATCTCTGGTGAGCCTAAGACACCATATGCAGTGTGGTCTGTTACATGCAGACCAACACATGAGGAGGCAAGTTGAACGTACTACCAACCCATAACCCCAACTGTTACGGATCTTTTTTAGGTGAGGGGTTCACAACAATTGCAAAGCACATTTTGTCTCCAGGATCACTGTGTTCTCCAAAAATATTGCACTTCTTGTGTGGATGCTGAGTCTTAATGGACCTTTCTCATGAAAACATGACAACTTGCATTTTAGGGCTGTCATAAAAGACCTTAAAGAGTTTAATAAAATATCACCAGTAGATGTACAGGGATCTATGTGTAGCACTCTGATGACTGTAGAGGTGTCTTCAAATTGAAGTTATCCTTAGCTAACCCAAGGAATTTTCTGGAGAAATAACCAACTATTTATGCACACTATGTGAAAAGCATTCCCTATGTTGATAGTCAAACAATTAGAAAAGCTGTTGCAAAATTTGGTTCTTACTTTAGTTGGAGTGATTAATGATGCAACTTCAGGCAAGCCTCAACTCTAATATTGTTGAACTGGCCAGTGTTGTTACAAATAATGGAATTGTCCTAAACTTCCTCCATGGAAGCTAAGAATGGGCCAGTGCAATGCTGAATATATCTTGTTGTACCTATGTTAATGCCACATTCCAAGTGAAAAGGCCGATCCAAACTTAAGGAGAAAGATACCTGGATTTCTAAGGTGCATCCTGATGGTTTATAAGACTTGCTAAGTTGGCTGGGTCCGGGCACCTGCCTGTGTGGTTGAGGTCAATAATACACATTGGCCCTATTCTGCTTATTAGAGTCCTGTTGATAGTAATTTTAATTAAATATTATGGAAGACAAACTGGACATATTTTGTCCAACCACCATTGATCAGATTCATCGGTGAGGCTAACCAAGTTATATAATTATGGAAAAAATCACAAGAAGCCAAGAGTGGTATCGAAACTAGCAGCAAACATTGTTGAGAGACAATTCTCCAAATATCTCACATTTCTGCATCTATTACCATAAAAGGCACTAATTGTTTTCTGACAAACAGCCTTGGAAGAGATTGTGTCTTCCTCTGAATAAAAGGGAAGGTTTGTTTACTGTGTAGTTTATAAAGAGTAATGTCTCTCACTAAAGCAAAGGTCAGGGAAACTTAGCTCTCATTATAAAAATTCAGATTCCCTATTCTCGAGATTATTTTTCTGTAACAGACCCCAGTGCTTGTGCTGGTATTATCTGCATCTCTTCACTCTGTGTGAATTGGAGATTGGGGTGCCAGTACATATGTGGACACTCTAGCAACTATTGTTACTGTTAGTAAAAAAAAGCTATTCCCTATCTCTGATCCATGAGTCATGTGAGTTCTATTACCATTACAACTGTAGTATCCTAATATTTTAGTTTGAGAAGAGGATAAAAATTTAAGACCATATACAGTTCTTGACAAATCTTATTTGAGACTGTATCATATAATAAGTTTTATAGTTGTCTCAAGGAAAAGCACTCATGCAATTATTTGTGTTGTAAATAAATTAGTCACATTTTCATGAAACACACATTTTTAGTTCAAGGCACAACTGATATGTGAATTGTGGTTAAACAGATTTCGATATTTAGCATTTTCTTAAAATGAATTAAGTGAAAGATAAAAACTAATAGTATACATTCTCATGATAAAATTATCCTACTTATGGATTCTTTTCAGGATCAATCTCCTGTGGTTGCCATATCTATTCCAGTTTTTATAGTTTCCAGAAGTCCTAGTAACAGTGAAAGTTAAGAACTTGTTGGCACCTCTTTACTCAAAAAGGGAAAATAGGGACAGAAGTCATCTTTGTAATTTGTATGTGAGTTAAAAAGCAAATTTATGGATATATTTTGAAACCATAGAGGGATAGGATTTGGATCAAAGGTGTAAATGTAGTTGAAATGTTTAATAGTAATAGATATGAAACAACACTTGCCCTTCTCTCTTCCAGAGTCAAAATCTGAAAATAAAGTAGCTATAATGTTGAACAGCTCTACTCTAAGTCTACAGGGAGAGAGAAAACAAAACAAATAATCAGTTCAGCTCACCTAGATAGAGGACAAGATTTATATTTCAGGGAGAAACATTCAAAGGTAAGTAGATTATACTCTAATAGTTAATACCAATAATAATAACTGATGCTATTACCATCATCTGAGATTTTTGAGCCCCTTACTGAAAAACTTTAATAAGCTGTCTGATCTAATCCCCAAAACAACTCTACTGTTTCGGTTTAGGAAAAATTAATCCCTCATCAACTGTCATTCAGCATTTTAAACCTAGTGACAGGATTCTACTTTAGATTTATCTTATTAAAAATTGTTTGCTCTTTCATTCGCATTAACTTTTTTGGGTATGAGTTATATATTTCAGTAACTAACTGAGAAGTTAGTATGTTGACATCAACTCAGTGCATATTAGGCTTCCATAAACACAGCAGCCATTTTCTTTAATAAATGTATCTACCACTGGCAGTTTGCCAGTCTGGGAGAGTAGAGGTGGAATCTACAAATATCCTACTGGCAAAACAGATTGGATGTCTCTGAGCTGTCAGAAAAATGTTTCATAGCACCTTCCATGGCTCTATATGTATAGTGAAGTGTTGAATAAATAAGTAATCTAAGCAAATAATCACTAAAGGGAGAAAAGAAGCAATAATTGAACAAACAGAAATTATAACCTGGAATGAAAGAACAGGCATTGTAACTTTTATAAACAAACCATCAAAAGAAACAGCATTTGCCTTTCCAGCACTACCTTTGCTAGGGATAGTAAACAAATTTAATTATTCTGAAACACATTTTAAGGAAAAACTCTATTAATGTTGTCAGTCAGCAGGTGGCATGAAAGCAATCCAGAAATAAATCAAGTTGTACCTAAGATTTTTGTAGCAACCTTTGCAAGTGTTTAAAACTGAATGAATGTGGCCATCTGTGACTGTTTATACACAAAGGCCATTTCAATAACTTCATATAAACAAAAACAGACAAGATTTTCAGCAGGCTCCTACCAGGTGCCCAACCATATGAGATTCAATTTGTTCCCACTACCTTTTATTGAGAAAAGAACCTGTATTTAATGATCAGTGTATCATAAAGAATCACCCTTGATTCATCACTCAAAATACATGGAAAACTAACACAGAAAAAAAAGAGATCATGTAAAGTTCTAATGTGCTGTTGCTAAATGGCTTATATAGTAAATGCTGTGCCCTAGACAAGCATTAGCAGATGCTGGTGTCTTCATAACCTATACAGTGGAACTTTGGAATAGTGCTGAATAAATCCCAGTGTAAGACTTTTTGTTTGTATGAAAAGTGTAGTGAAAGAAGGAGTAGTAAATCATGGTAATTTCTAATCTCTAATTGAATATTCTAATGTAAATATTCTAATATCATTATTCCCATCCCTATCTGTACCTTACAGCCATATTAAAACCACTTAGGGGCCCATAGCATTTCTCAAAATGAAAATACTCTAATTCATTTATTTTCATCCTTCTGTGAACATTAAAACCACTAAAACCACTTAATGAGGCTTTAAAAAGTCTAAATAAATTAGAATACCTGTGGGTGGTATCTAAGCACACCAGAGATTCCAATGTATAGCAAGAATTGAAAAGTTACTGCTCTATAGGAAAAACAAACACACAAAAAGTAGAAATTTTTCTGAGAATAATGAAAAATTACACAAACTTTGGCTATGAAAACTAAAAGAAAATTAATTAGAATGCAAGTTGTGTATACAATTAGAATGAGAGAATTTCAAGCTGATTTTTAATAAGAAGAAAAATGTCAACATTCACTGGAAAAGGAAAATGTTTTTTCTTTTATTATACACAACGATTAACAGAAAAAGGAGTGTCAGAAAGATTGTAGAAATGAAAAATGAAGTATGAAATATAGTTACACAGAAACTATAGTTTGTAAAATTTATTAAGAAAAACTTAAAAATCATTTTTATGTTACCTACATTTTAAATTTTATATCACCCTAAGATCACAAGAAATAAAAAGTATGTGACAATCTGCCATATTTCTCTGTTGTGCTTTAGAAATTACATCTGTTTTACTAGAAGTCAAGTGATACAAAAAAATGTCTTTACTCCTGATAAAACAAGTATATAATCAGGTTAAACTACTGTGCCAAATTACTATAATCTATAGATTCTCCTCAAGTAAGATCACCCTACTTGGCCAGTCATCTGCACAAGGCTTACAACACTGCTTCCGTATGCTACCTCATAAATGCACTGTGCCAGTTCACAAAGTTCTATGGCCAGATCCTGGTTTCTGCCTACTGATATTGGTTCTCAGCCATGTAAGCCAAGTGGAAAGAAACTTTAACCCCACACTAGAGTATCATCCAATGCTTCAAGGCTTAGCTGAGCACTGTGAGTTTAAACTGTTTATCAGCTTCCAGGAGATCACCAGTATTAAATCTACCAGGCTTCAAACTGCCATTTCACTCCACCACTATTCTCCCTTACCAAAGAATATTTCCACTTCAATTTTATACTTACAGTGATTTGTTTCCTTTTCCTACCCTAAGATGACATTTCTCTTTTCCAAACAAACTAACTGTGCCTTTTGAAACTCCTGCTTCGTAATTTAAAATGATATATTTTTCACGTGCAGAAACCTGCTTTTCCAAACCCCATTCTCCAGATGATAAAGACCCTATAATTTTTATGTCCATGTTTCTTTTCCTCTTCACCTATTTCCCTATTCAGCTAAGATTGTATCATCTTTGTTTCCATTATATTTTCTTATTTTTGCCTGGTAATTCTGAGGTGCAGATAAATTTGACATATAGATAATTCTTGGAGACATGAGACTAGATAAGACCTACTAGGGAAAGAGAAACATGCAAAGGGAAGAGGGAAGGAGTGCATCTTAGATTATCATCTGCAACTATTTCATTCTTCTGTTTTATAATGAGTCTGGTTTGGTATCGTGCTAAACATTTTACATTTACAATATCATTTATTACTCAATAGCACCTCTATAAATAAGTCTACTGACCTCATTGCACAAATATGTAAAGTAACTTTCAAAATGTCAAATAAGTTGCCCTAAATCACATAGCTGTAACATGAAAGAGAAAGATTACTCATCTCTACCTTAAAAATTCCACTATGCTCTTTCCACTATGCTCTTTGTACAAGATACATGGTAAAGTAGTTTGTGCATATCTTCACTTTCCCACCCAAAATACATTAAGAAAAGTAAGATTACCCACGGAGGTAAGAAAGCAGTATCAACTACCCATTTCCTTCTTCTTTCTCTCTGGTTATGGAAAATTTACTTTCCAAAGGCAGGCATTCTCTCCCAGGAAGGTCATGATTTCAGGGTCCTGAACTGTGACTATTCTCTAGGTCCATGCATGTTTGTGTCTTTCTACAAGGTCAGACTTGTGTTGATGCTGTTTCAATTACAAAAGCCACAAGCTACATGGAGTTTCCAAGGAAGCAATTCTCTTTAGTACTTCCCATTCACTCAGTAGTCAGAGCTATGGATACATGAGCTCAAGCCACTCCACAAGTCAGTCAATATTGCAAAACACACACAATAGTATAGTTGATCAATATATAAATGTTGTAAGTAGATTAAACATTCCACGACAAATTAACATTTAACATCAAGAGAAAAGGAATGGGAAAAGGGTTAGCAAACCAGTCCAGGGAGAGCAATGTAGACAAAAAGAATATCTTTGTCTGGCCCGGGTAGTCTATCAGTCTTACAAGGCAGAGTGTTTGATGTGGACAGAGTCTTTGGTGGCAGATGTTGGGTACTTATCACGAGTGACAGCAAGACAGTGTCTGTTAAGACAGCTGTCTTGAGATGGTGAAGTCCTGTACTTTTTATGGCCACAGAGTCCTCTGGTGAGGACTGATAGTGGAGGAGTGTGCTTCGCTATGTCCTTATCTGGTTGGAAGCAGTCTTCATTTATTAGGCAAAACATCCAGTCCTTGGTGGCATAAGTGCCCTATGAAATATAAGACGGAGTCTTTTTCTAAGATGGAATTATCTTGATCTAAGTAATCAAGTACAACTGTACTGCACTTGATTTCCACTAATCGAAACTAGAGGAGGTTGGTAATATCAGAAAAAACTGAAATACAAAGGATGTGTCCACCAGAACCATCACAAGATATGACAAAGGTTAAGATTTTTAATAGTTCCATTTATCAGCTTATGTGATTCAGAGATGGGCAAATTTTTGGTGGTTCTAAACCATAAATCCTTTTATATAAGAAAACAGAGCTTATTTCTTATTGGTGTCTCTACTGCTAAGACCAGTTTAGAAGAATTTTCTGACTAAAATGGACCTAAACGGTTTATTCTACTTAGTGAGACAAAGCTTACTAATATATACACATAAATTAATTTTATGGTGAAGTGTCAAGAATGGTGAAAAACCAATTACTGTAAAATTTAGTTCTATGAAACAATCATCTATAATGCTCATGGATTCTGTGGTCAAGATTTCAGATGGGGCATTGCAGAGATAGTTTGTCCCTGCTCCATTATGTCTATGGCCTCAACTGTGAGACCCAAAGACTAGGGCCTCTTTTGAAGGGTCATTTACTTGCATATCTTTTGATGGTTGATGCTGGTTGTTGAGATTCAGTTCGTATCCATTGTGCCTTGACAAGTGGTCTCTCCAGAGTGGCTGGTTCAGGCTAGCCCACAGTATGATGAATGTCTTTCATAGCCATGTATCCTGTGAGAGTAAAAAACAGGTAGGAAATGACATTTTTAAGGCCTAGCATTTAACTCACATGGAATTCACTTTCCACTATTTTCTATGGAGAGAAGCAATTGCATCACCAACTCAGATTCCAGAGAAGGGAATAGATTTCACCTGCTGAGTGAAAAAGTATCAGTCACATTTTTAAAATAACATGTGAGAAGATATATATGACCATCTTTGGAAAATAAAATACACTATAAATATTGATATTAATTTGTCATTTATCAGAGAGAAATGGAAAATTCTTCATGTCCTTGTTCTCTTACCTTCATCATTTATTGTTAGATATTCATAAACAATTAATTTTTAAATTTCCTGTATACCAAACCACCTCTCAAATTACAAGGAATATGTAGGTATTATAAAACTTAATAGCGATCAGTTGCCCCTCTTTTAAAAATAAATATCTGATTTCAATTGGTTTTGATGTAATAATATGGCATATAAATATCCTGTAAGCTATTTTGTGAGAGGCACTGGCATATCTATTTAGAGATATAAATACATTTACAGAAAATTGAAGATAATATTTCTTAAAAGATCTAAATCACAGTAAATGTAGGCCAAAACTCTACCAAGTAAATCCCCAGTGACAACTGCCTTACATAACATCATAGTTGTGACACAGTTATATGGATATTTTCTTTAAATAAGAATTTATTTCTAAAGAAACCTTTAAGAAAATATGACAGCACTATAGAAAATTTCTTGGAGAAGAGCTCAGAATAGTTAATCTATAGATAGTGTTTATCAATCCCTACAGTCTTATTTAGGTTATTTTTATTATAAATTAATTCAAGTAATTTATATCATTATCAATCTTTCTACATCATTATATTCTTATCAATTTTCTTTGACTAACGCAATCCCCAAGCAGAGGCATACTATAATACATCATCTTGTAATTGCAATATATATATATAGCAAGATGATATATCTTGTAATTGTCAAATCTTTAAGAAAAATAACAGAGAAACAGTGTCACTTTTCATTAGAATTATTGGTAACATGTCTAATCAACACATTGCTTTTCCTAAGCTAATTTTTCTTAAAATATTTTATAATTCCCTAAACATTTCTAAAATAGAAAAAGCTTAACATAAAAATGAGTTTTTATAAACCTTCTAAACTTTTCCTTTCGTATACAGAAATCGATAAAAAAGGTAAAAACATAGAAAAAATCTTTGAAAATTGGATTTAGCTAAGATTTTTTAAACAATACACAAAATAAAAAACACAAAAATTGATAAAATATACTTCACCAACATTAAAAATATTTGCTTTTTAAATACATAGCTAAGGACATAGAAAAGCAATTGAGAGAAATTTTTGCTAATCCCACAATGGCTTACTGTTCAGAATATGGAAAGAACTCTTATAAGTCAAAATTAATAGTAGGACAACCCAATTGAAAATTAGGAAATAGAGAAATGCAAATCAAAAACACAATGAGATAGCATCTCACACCAGTCAAAATGACTATTGTTAAAAAGTCAAAAAATAACAGATGCTGGCAAGGTTTCAGAGAAAAGGGAACACATACACTGTTGGTTGGAGAGTAAATTATTTCAACCATTGTGGAAAGCAATATGGTAATTCCCTAGAGAGCTAAAAGCAGAACCACCCTCCAACCCAGCAATCCCACTACTGGGTTTATAGCCAAAGGAATAGAAATCATTCTACCACAAAGACACATGCATGTGGAAGTTCACTGCAATGCCAGTCACAATAGCAAAGATATGGAATCAACCTAAATGCTCATCAATGACAGATTAAATGAAGAAAATGTGGTATACATACACCATGGAATACTATGCAGCCGTAAAAAGAATGAGACCATGCCTTTTGGGGGAACATAGATGGAGCTGGAGGCTATTATCTTCAGCAAACTAACACAAAAACAGAAAACCAAATACCGCATGTTCTCACTTATAAAAAGTGGGAGCTAAATAATGACAATTAATGAACACAAAGAAGGGAACAACAGACATTGGAGTCTACTTGAGGGTGGACAGTGGAAGGAAGGAAAAGAGCAGAAAAAATAAATATTGGATACTAGGCTTAGTACCTCTGTGATGAAATAATCTGTACAACTAACCTATTTGACACAAGTTATCTATTTAACAAACCTTCACATGTGCCTCGAAACCTAAAATAAATGTTTAAAAAATCAGTAAATCTGTGAATAAGCACTATAAAAAGGAAGATATACGATAGGATGGTCAATTGTTACATTAAAAAATGCTCATTGTTATATAAAAGGATGCACAACACTACTAGCCTACAGGAAAATATAAATTAAAATGACAAGATATAACTACACATATATATGCTAAAATGGTTAAAGTTAAAACACTCAACATTGGTGAGTATAAATCAAAGTCTCACACAGTGTTGGTGGGTCTCCAAAATGTTAGTCACTTTTGAAAGCAGTGTAGATGTATCATATAAAGCAAAAGATATGCTTATCATACAAATCGGCAGTTCCATTTATAGGTGTTTATCAAAGGGAAATGAAAATATGCCATCACACAGATATGTATTTGGATATTTAGAGCAGCTTTATTTATAATGACCCAAAAGTTCAAGAAACTCATATGCGCATCTACCAGTGAATGGGAAAAATAAATATGACTTAAACTTACTGTAGGATACCACATGGTGATATAAAGAGAAACAAAATACATAGAACAACCTACATTAATCTTAGAGACATTATGTTAACTGAAAGTAGTAAATTATAAAAGAACATATGATTTCATTTATATCAAATTATATAAAAGGGCAAGCAGATTAGTCTTTCCTGGCAGCAGGTATGGGGTGTGGGGGGGGGCAGTATAAACTGCAGAGAAGCAGGAGAAAGCTTTTTAGAGTGGTATAATTTGTCTATATCTTAATTGTACTGTTGGCGGTTACATGTTTATAGACAGTTTTACAAGTTCATTAAACTGTATACTTCAAATGGGTCAATTGTATAATATATAAAATTGTGTTTTGTTCTTTAAAAACAGAAGGAAAAATATTTAATGTTTATGTCACAGTTTGGACATTGTTATTTATGATCCCAGAGAAACAGTAATTTGCAAAATAGTTCTAACGAAAATTCAGAGCATTTCCAACTGTACGTCTTAAAACACATCAGAACAAATTCAGCCTTGACAGGAAATAACTACCTATCTTGATTAATGTAAATCGGCAATAGAAGATAGTTCACAGCCTGTGCTATGTTTGCCACATATTTATTAACATCAAAATCTAAGGCTATATTAACAGTATGTTACTGCTGCTATGTTAGAAAGAAAAATGGGTTGAAAGTTTTAAGAAACTGGTGTACATATCTAGTAAATATGCAACTTTAACTTGACTTTTTCCAAGTAAAAAGGAATGGACATTACAGAAAGTCTATCTAGGTTAGTCTTAATTCATATTTTCAATTTAAATGTTCTGATTTCCTGATGCATACTTAAAAGTAACTAAAAATATTCATGTAAATCCGAAGTATGGATGGTTTTCTTTCAGAGAAAGATAATGTAACTTAATATTTTGTTTTATACAAAATGTTTTCTGTATATATTTCTAGGTAATATACAAAATACATATGTCTTAGCTAAATGTATATCTTACATAAATATAAGGCTGCTATAATTATTATAATTTATTAAATGTTCAAGTAATATATTTAATGGTTTTCTATTAGCTTATTTGATTATAGCATATTTGATCAGAAAATATTTATATATACAGAAAGTCATAGTAATAATTCTTCTATATAAAGTTTAAAATTATAATATAATTTTCCCAAGGGACTGAATTTTATGCCTACTAAATATAGACTCTGTAAAGGTAAATACAAATTAAAAAAAAGAAACTGAATTCTCTTTGTTCAAAATAAGGGAAGAGTCTTCCCTCCCCTCTCATTTTTTAAGCATTTAATTTAGAAAATTTTTAATTTAAAAGTTCTTTTTATTTGCTATACATGTAAATCTTTTCAAAATTTAAATAAGCCTCTTACCAGCTTTAAGACCCAAGAAGAACTTTTTAAAGGACTTTTCCATGCAAAATTTAAACTCCTTAGAGACCCATTCAGTGTTTTATTTTTAACCAGCCTAGATTTACAAGACCTTGTCTTCCCCATATGTCCATGCCAATCCTCAGGTGTACACCAGTACCAAGAAGATAATGTTAGGTAATAAAAAGAGAGGCAACCGGAGGTCCTATTCCTTTCTGAGATACTGCTCCAGGGAGCTGATGCCCCTTGACCCCTACATCTAGTCTCTGCCCCATCTCAAGCTTGGTAAGGAGTCCAACACAAGCAGGAATCTAACTGGATGAAGTAGAAAGAATTGACTGAAGGTCTTGTTATGGCCATAAAAAGCAAAAAATATTTCTTCTGTCTCCTTGTTTAAATGATTGAATCCAATGTATATAACATTTTCTTTTTTAAAGTTGTAAACTGTTGTAAAATTTAAAGGCACTAGCTTAATCGTATTCTTTTTTATTCATTTGACTACCATGCAATATATTTCATGGACCATTTATTTGTTAACTCCTATTGGAGACTATTATGGAACATCTACAAAGTGCTAGGAATTTTCAAATACCACTATATTTTATTCTTTATTTTAACTTGCAACTATTAAAGAAAAATGATTTTAGGAAGAATGTGCCCTATATTCATTGAATCCTCCTTAATAACTTGGTCACTTAATTCAAGTAAGCTAACATGTCTTTATAAAAAGTGTTTTACTAAATTAAAAATGATAGGATTCATTTACCTAAAAATCTCTAGCTTCCAAGCAAACTAATTAAAATGTTATACATTCCTATGTCAGCAAGTCTTTCAATGTATTTCAAATTGCGTTTTGATGCTATAATCTTTTTCTCTATATTAGAAAAGGAAATGTACTCAGTAATCTTAAAATATTGCAAACTGGGAATAGACATTCCAGCTAGTGTATATTACCATATTCTGCTGAACCTAGAAAAGAGCAACAAAAGACATTATTTTAAGACAGATAATGAAGCAATCAAAGAATGGGGCCTTCTGTGAGATTTTATGTTTTCAGAAACATTGTTTAATTTCTTCTAATATTTGTAGTAGTATTATTAATTAGGTTTATCATTTGATATTTGCAAACTTAATGATTTTACAAATGTTATTTTTTTTGCCAAAATTAAGGTACAATTTTTATATTAAGAATGTAATTTACAGGTAGTAATTATTTGTGTTTAAATCTAATGTTTTCCTATTTCCCCAATATTTCTGTTATTTAATGCTACAGAAAAGGTTAGACTTTTCTAACCATTAATGCTGAATATAATTATTTCAGAATTATTATATATTAATAAATCCTCAAACTGTCAAAATTTTCACTTTATATTTAAAATAGCCCATATGGTGAGGGGATTTTACAATCAACCTGTGAAGCTACGTTACCGGGGGATAGTAATTATCAAATGGAAAAAAAAAGGAAATGAGCTAGGCCTTCTACAAGAAGCTAATAAAAGAACTTTCAAAGCTAATTTTAAATAGACATACATTTCTCGGGAGCCCAAAAAGTCCATATTGTGCAAAAGGATAATAGACCACATATGTTTGCTGAGAATCTTTAAAATAAATAGGTGCTTGTCAGGAGCATTGACTGTGGATACATAGAGAGAAAGAACAAGCAAAGGATTTTCTTATCATAGACTGTTATTCTCTTGTTTATAATTGGCTTTAAATTTTTTTTTAACCCAAATGTCCACTGGAGATTTGAACTGCACTCTCAAACTCCCAAGGAGCCTATCATTTCCTGTGGGTTCTTTCCCCTCTTTCATTGAGAAGCATTCACACCCATATTCATTCTCAGAGTCTACAGCTGGTAAAACAGGGCTTAACTCACTTTAAAAATGAAATATCATCATAGGCTAAGCAACTGCTTGTTTTGTTTGGTGAGTAGAAGCTAAAGCAGAATTTCTGTTTTTCACAGTACAATAGTTTTTCTGTCTGCACATGATTAATGATACTTAGCCAAGAAGAAAATGCTTCAACTTCATTTGCTGGTATCCTGTCTCAACCTTTTAAAAGCTATGTTTACATTAGAGAACCTGAGGGAAAATTTGCCCTAGTAGTTCCTCATGTATTTCTTCATCTGTTTCATAGAGAATTTACCAGAAAAAAAAATCTGTACTTAACCTGGGAACTGGACTGGGAGGTTAGAGGGGAAGCCTGAAGAGAGCAATTGACCTAGAACTTGAAGACTAGTATTTGAGAATTGAGCCCAGAGTCTGTTACTAACCAGCTGTATAATTTTGAGCAACCTGCTCTTATTTCTGATTCCAAGTGTCATTATTCAAAATGAAAATAATAAACCTCTCTTTTCGAGTTGTCATAATTAAAAAAATAATACTTTATATGTGAAAAATCTAAACTCAATAATCTCTTACTATTAACACTGTCTTGGTTAATAAGTATTTAAATTAGATAGTGTGAGTCCTCAAATTTTGTTCTTTTTCAAACTTGTTTTGATTATTCCAAGGCCATTCTATTTCCATATACATGTTTTAAAACAGCTTATCAATTATTACTAAAAAGCGTGCTAAAATTTTTATTAAGATAATACTAAATTTATACATTGATTGAAAAGAACCCATCATTGAATTCATGGTCATACTAATTGTTTCCAGGAATTTTACTCTTTTATTCATCTCAGCAATGTTCTGTTGTTTTCAGGGTATAGGTATCTCACATCTTTGTTCAACTTTGTCACTGACTTTTTTTGTTTTGGATGCTTTAATAAATCGTACTTTCAGATTTCAAAAATAAAAACCCCACAGGTAAAGAGTAGCAGGCTCTTACCATTCAGCTTCCTTAGCCATATTTTGTTATCTAAACAATAACAAAAAATTTAAAAATGCAGTTTTCTAAATTACCAAACATAGACTCAGACTGAAATATAGTTATGAACATTTTTCAAATGTGTAACTGTGGGGGCATCTTTATGCTAGTTATCTAGAAACAGAGGCAATATTTTCTCTGCCTCTTAGTATTCAGTAAGGCAGTATAAGAAAATCGCTTAGCCCTGTACCTGGAACATGTGAGTAATAATGAAGGCAAACACTATTCTCCCACCCTGCTGCACCAACACAACTTGGTCCATGTATGCATGACTCTTGCCCAAGTCATTCATTCTGCAAGCATTCTAAGTCTCCTTGGATGGATGCAAATTCTATCTACCTCCCTTCACCTCCTCAACCTCCAGCACACGAAGAATGCCAAGGCATCCGAGATCATCATCTTGTGATTAGGTCACAATTAAGATATTATGTACAATATTCCTTAATGTTTTGTTGTTACTCAGGCTATGACTTTAGTAGTACTATGTGATTAGAATTGTATTGGGGGCATTTACAAAACTGCTATAAACAAATGAGAAGCTCTCACCCCATAAATATCTGCAAAAAATGCAAAATGATCCTATAAGCAAGAAATTTTAAGAAAGGACGTAAAGGGGCCATATTTATTCCTTTTATCCTGAGTAATTATACCTGTAAGTCAAAACAAGGACCTAAAGTGGAGATGGCGAAAAGTAGGTAGTAACAAGAGAATAAAACAAACCAATGTGATTTTGCATAGACATTTCTCATTTATTTTCCTAACATCTTTATTGAGTTATAATTGATATAAAAAGAGCTGCACATATTTAATGCGTACAATATGATGAGTTTGGTCATATGCAAAACCTCATGATACCATCAACACAATCAATGTTATAACAAATCCAGCACCTTTCTTGTGTTCCCCTTTTTCGGGTAAAGGGAGCTACCTTAATATAATATCAATCCACATAACAAATTTTGAAATGAACAATGCCATATTGTTAACTATAGGCACTACATTGTACAGCAAATCTGTAGAATTTATTCCTCTAGCATAACTGTGTACACCCACTGAAAACTCCCCATTCCCTTATCCCCTAACCCATTAGAGCCACTATTGTATTCTCTGCTTCCATAATTTTGGCTATTTCAGACACTTCATATAAGTAGAGTTTTTTCTTCTGTTACCACAGTAGTATGAAACTAGAAATCCCTAACAACAGAAAAATGGGAAAAGTCACAAATATGTGGAAATTAAACAACATACTTCTGAACAACATACTTCTGAACAACCTGATCAAAGAAGAAGTCAAAACGGAAGTCAGAATAGATCTTAAGACAAATGAAAATGAAAATGCAACATACCAACATTTAGAAAGTAAAGTAAAATCAGTACTAATAGGGTAGTTTCTGTCATGCTTTGATCACTCGCTGTGTATTCTCAGCCAGCATGACTAGTGTTTTCTCCTTGCAGATAGCTTTGCCTTATTTTCCTCAAAGGTTAGGTGTCCGCTTATGGTCATTATGTAGTACACCAAAAGCAGCTCAGCCCACTCACAAAAGAAGCAGGGAGTCAAAGTTAATGCTCATCATGTTTGGCAGGCCAGGCAGGCCCATATGCTAAGGGAATCTGAGTGCTCTGGGTATGCCTCACATTATTTTGATTTGCCGTTGCATGTGCCATATTCTGATTGGTGAAAAACTGTCCATGACCAAACTTTGGACAAGCTCCCTGCACCCTTCTTTTCAATTAGACCTTGTGCTTTGCCCTCCATCTTTTCTGGGCCTGCATAGTCTAGCATGCTACAGTTTAACTGACTGCAGCAAGAATCCTGCTAAGTCAGTTTAATGAGAATCCTCCCACCCTTGATGTCTGATCACCCTTGTCTGCCTTCAGCAAGAATCGTGTTAAGTCAGTTTAACAAGAAACACCCAACTCTGGGTGTCTCTTCTTAGTAATTTTCTCTCCAGCAAACTTGCCACTCTGCTCCTTGGCTATAGATCCCCAGCTGTCTTGATTATATTCAGAATTGAACCTGATCTCCCTCCACTATCGCAATAGTCTTGACCCCTAATGCAATAGTCCTAAAAAAAGTGTCTGCCTTGCTGCTTTAACAAGCGTCAGAATAATTTTTCCTTAACACTGGTTATAGCCAAAGTAACATAAGCCATTACATAATTTATTATATAAGTTGTCTACAAGTAATGCCTCTCTTTATCAAAACATTCCAGAGCTTTTTAGTACTTTTCAAATTATGTTTATAATCTGGGGTACAGCAGGTGTTTATCTCTTTTGAGCAAGGTGGCCATATGTGTAGGCATAAGGAGGTAAAGATGTTTCCAAATTCAATTACTGTTGAGAAAAACGTTTTTACAAGCAAAGGAACATTTTTGTTGGGAAGGTGTATTTAAGCATAGCTATTAAGTTTGTATTCAATTCTATTAAAAATAGCATGAGGGTTTCCTTAAAAAGAACATTTCACACATCACTATTCGGATTGTGTTTTTATTGTTATTTTTGTTCCTAGGAGAAAAAGGACATATTCAAATATTTTAAATGAACTGTAAGGGTGGCATTTTTGTGACATTCCTAGGTATTATTTGATTCACTTGGTTTGAGAAATTGAAGGGACTAAGGACTTCAGGACCTCTTAAAATTATAATTACAACCATCACAAATCTCAAATTGTGAACCCATGTGTTCACTGAAATGTCATATCAAACTTACTAGGACCAAGCTCATGTTTCATTAAATTCCATCAAAACAAATGTGACTTCTTTTATTATAAAAATATGTTTGCATTATTCATATACACATGGAAGTTTTAACAATGTCATTGGTGTGTAAGCAGCACTGTAACAATACTTATATTTATTAAGCCCTTAAAAAGTTTCAAAAAGTACAAACAGAATAACTCTGACAACATAAGCGAAAATTGTAAAAGCATGCACAAAGGTAGTAAACCATGTCTTGTCATAACAAACATCTAAACAGAACATCAATTTTAAAAAATTACTTTTGTAATTTATTGAAATAGCTAATACACGTATAAGATACAAATTCAAAAATACGAAAGGCAGAACAATAAAAAGTAAGTCTCTTTCATCTCTTTCCTTCACTTTCCGTTTCCCAGTGCCCTTTACAAGAGATGCCAGTCTCACTAGCTTATTATGATCATTGACAGACAGGTAAACAGATAGATGTACAGATAAAAAGAGTTACTAGCTATGTGAACTTTGACAAGTTACATAATCTCTCTATAACTTAGTTCCCTAAACTGCAAAGTAGGTGGAAGAATCTAGAATTAGGCATATATGCTTTGTATATACAAATGTCATTATGGTCTAGTCATTATACCATGCTTTATTTTATTTTTCTTTTTCAAGATTTTGGAGCTAATTCTTTATCAGCTATATATTAGTGTCTCTATATTTTTAATAATTATATAATATTCCATTGTATGGTTTTACTGTAACTTATCATAGATCAATTCAATTGTGAAATTATGTCACTCTCAGACTTGTAATATTTGATACTGTTAACTGCCTTTAAAATAAGATTTTATTCAACCTAATATTTACAGTAGTTTTCCTTCCATAGTTTTTCACATCTTCAAATTTAATTGATTAGTAGTTCCACAGATACATTAATAGAAAACATGAAGTTTTGGATTCACAAACTCAAATATGTTCTTCGTTGTTTATAAATGTATTCAACAAGATTTATTCAACAGGCATTGTTCTAGTTACTGGAGTTATAGAAATAAACATAATTAACATGTAAAACTTTATAGTGCTTCCATATTGGAGAGAGAAGAGAAACAATATACAACTATTGTTTGCAAAGTAGTATTTCAAGAGACTTTCTTAATTAAAAAAAAAAACTCTTAGGAAACTAGAAATAGAGCAGAACTTTTTAATCTGATAGAGTGTATCTACAAAAAAACTAAAATAAATGTCATCCTTAATAGAGTATTCTCAATACCTTTCACTCTGAAGTCAAAAAGCATATTATTCTTCTGATATAATCATATTAATTCATTTTTTTTTTTGCCAAAGGCCTCAATTGCTTCAAGAAGGCAGATTAATGAATAATATTGAAAAGTTTGAAATAGAAGCCATTATTCTCAGGTAACTGAATATATATGCAGAAAATTACATGTATATTCAGAATATTCTAAATATGTATAAAGGATGTATATATGTACAGAAAAATTTAACATTAATAAGTGATTTAAAGTCACAGGATACAAAAGCCATTTTATTTCTATATGTCAGTTTTCCTATATCTATTGCTACACAAAACTGAGTAGCTTATAGCTATAATCAGTTCCTTATATCTCAATATATTGTGAGTCAGGAGTGCAGGTAGCGCTTCGCTAGGAAATTCTTCTGGTCCACACAGTATCACCACAAGTCTGTGTGGTGGTGCTGTAGAACATTCATGACTGCCTCATTTACATGTCTGATGTCTTGGTGGAAATGCCTCGAATCCTAGGCTCAGCTAGGACTGTGGGCTAGACCGCACACACACGGCCTCTCCAACATCGTAGTCTCAAGATAGTGAGAAAATGTACATGCCAACTCAAAACTCCCAGACATAGCATATCAAGAGACAAGAAGTGAAAATTGCCTGGGCTGGGAAATTGGTAGAGGGTATTTTTTTTATTAGCAAAAGACATTATAGAACCCATCAATATTCAAGGAGACATGACAAGGACCTCAGGTCTCCATGAGGTAACTGCCCCAAGAGGAAAGCTTAAGTTCTGTGCCGAGTACTATATATAGATTTTCTCATTCAATTTACTCATATAGTCCATTTCATAGATAAGAAAATCAAGGCACACAAAGTTTAAGTAAATTGGACAAGGTTTTAAAAACTGACTCTTCATGAAAAACAAAAAACAAGGAACTTGAAGGTGCCCCTTTAGAGAAGAAATGATTTGATGATTCCACATATATAAAGGCAATACCAATTTCAAAAACATGTATTGATAACAGTATTAATCTGTCACACAGCATAGAGAACAAACTTCAGTGGCAAAATGACAACTCGGAAATAGCCACGTGTGGCAAAAAATCAGTTTATGTACAGTATTAATGAAGCAATGACTTGAGGATGTAGACAGGAAAAATAATCATGCCACAAAATGTCATAATATGAAGCACCATTGTGTGTCGGGGCGGGGTGGGGGGCTGGGTGGTGTTTTCTTGATACAAAGAAAGGAAGAACAAAGAATGCATGAAGCTTTCAAGCTGGGAAAACTAATAAATGTACATGACTGTATACAGCTTTCTAAAAGCAGGTACATTGTGTTAAACATGATTTATATGTTTAGCTCCTGGCTTGAAAATGAAAATCAGCACTGGATTAGCAAGAGCTGTTGAATTTTCCTGAGGTCCAACACTACAAGAAACTGTTCAATGAAAACTTTATTCCCAAGAAGCCATCCAACTGGTTTATAAACTTTATGCAACTTTAGTACCTGGTAAATTGAGTGTGGGGGAAAGGGAGCAGAGAAGAAAGAAGGTTCAATTTACTGGGATGTATAATTCTTGTTTGTAAATTGTAACAAACACTAGTAAGTAAAGAAATAATAGCTTAAGGTGAACAGAACTTTTTCCCATTAAATGTGTTTAATTAGCACAGATCCTTCTCTAGGGGCCAGGAAATAATGACATCATGACGGTCCGTGACAGTCCTTGACTGTGAATGCTGCTAAATCTGTTTAAAAGAAAAAAAAAAGAAACTAAAAATGCAAAACAAAAAAACCAATCCTTTTTGCTTCACATGAAAAATCATTTAGCAATGACAAGTAAAGAAATTTATAGCTGTACAAGTAAACAATATATTTCTATAACTCTGTGAAATTTTATATCCAGAGATATACACTTACACAGAGATACACACTTATACACATTCACTACTTGTGTCATATAAATTATTTTTCAAAATAGGTTCAGTTGTTTAGGCATACAATGAATTAAGAGAGAGTTATTTGTAGTTGGTGCACAGAGTAAAATGGGAATTTGTAAAGACTCAAAACATTTCATGAGAGAAAGTACATTTTGCACATAGGGTAGATAATAAAACAATCATTTGAGAACACACCCTCATTCAGCTCTCTCAAAATATTATGAGGTAAGTGTTATCATCTCTATTCCATATATGAAATGACTATGGTTCAAAAGGTTAAGATACTGGGAAAGTTTTTGACTGGCTCTAGTGTGTATCTGAAATTCCAGCATCAATCAGCTCAAGTGAAAAACCCATTATATCTTCTCTTTACCTCTTGATATGGTTTGGCTATGTGTCCCCACCCAAATCTCATCTTGTAGCTCCCATAATGCCTGTGTGTTGTGGGAGGGACCCAGCGATAGATAACTGAATCATGAGGGCAGGTCTTTCCTGTGCTGTTCTTATGATAGTGAATAAGTCTCACAAGATCTGATGGTTTTAAAAATGGGAATTTCCCTGCACAACCTCTCTCTTTGCCTGCTGCCATCCATTTAAGATGTGAACTTGCTCCTCTTGCCTTCCACCGTGATTGTGAGGCCTCCCCAGCCACGTGGAATGGTAAGTCCGTTAAACCCTTTTTCCTGTATAAATTACCCAGTTTCAGATATATCTTTATCAGCAGCATGAAAATGAACTAATATAACTCTACTCTTTTATAGTAAGGTAAAGATAATTTTTCACTCCACATGCATAACTTAAGATGAATTTTGAACCCTTATCCTTGAGCACTGATCAATTTTCTAAAGTTACTGGGGGTGTGGAAACAGTAAAGTAAGCTATCCACCAAATGTCTTTCTTAGAACAAAATTATTCAGGTCCCTAGTAGTTAGCCTACCATGTAGTACTAGGGTAAAGATACTTTAGTCACCCCATGAAACACTTACTTAAAAACAGCATTAAAATGAGTGCTGTCTATGTGTACTACCTTGTGCCAGGGGCAGTGACAGGCCAAAAGAAATACACCACATTTACAAGAAGCCTACAATCTAATTCGAAGGCATATATGTGAAATGTTAAAGGGGGAAAATTTGTAATCTAGAGCTTCAGACACAACTATTTCATGAAGAATATTTCCTAAAAGTTAGTGAAGTATTAAATTATTTCTGACTTTCTAAAGATTAGTGATGTATTGAAATATTTCTGACTCTCTGCTACTTCCATGTCATCTGGTAAGTGTACCTGAGCTATGATCTTAATTGTGAAGTGCCTCTGACCTTGGTCACTTAGCTACTTCTCTTGGTCACTCTCCCCTTAATAATAATTAGTACATATCATGTGATAGCTTTTTATTCCTTAGATATAACCTATGAGAATTCATCCCATCTTAGTGCTTTAAATACTATCAATATGCCAATGAATGCTACATGTGTATCTTGAGCTTTGATTCTTCCTGAACTCTAGTCTTGGTTATTCAAGGCATACATGTTCATCTCTATGTTGAAAATTCATTTCAAACTTACCCTGCCCAAACATGACTCTTGATCATTCTTTCTTAATAATTACTGGCACACACCATATATTAGATTTTTATCCTCAGAACAAAAATGTAAGATAGTTTCCTTTAGGAGACTCATTTCAACTGAGAAAACTGAGACACTCAGAGGTTACAGAACATGTCCATAGCAGTAAGTGAAGATGGAATGCAAATCCAATCTGTTCACAGAGTTCATTCCATCAACCATGACACTATTGTTACACCTCTGCCTCCAACACATATCTCAAACTGGGTCACTTCTCTGTATCTTTGCGGTCACTTCTCTGTATCTTTGCTGCCACTACCCTACGATATGCACATGCTTTTCTACTCAAGAGTTCAAAAGACTTCCTAAACTGTACATGTCAAAAGAGAGAACCTTTAATTTGTTCTGCCCTAAGTAATGAAACTTACCTTATGCCAAGCACTGCTCTAAACAGTTTTAATCCATTACCTCCTTGGATTATTAGAGCAAATAATGAGATAGGTATTACGATTCTCATTTCACACATGAGGAAACTAAAGTAAAAAGAATTTAAGAAACTTGCCCCTGGCCAGTACTTGAAGTTGGAAGCAAACCCTGTCTGTCTCCAGCACCCATGCTTTCAAAACCATTGCTCTATATGCCTTTTCTTCATTAACTTTCCTGATGCAGGAATGCACTTCTATCTACCTGTCAGTCAGGCCAAACGCTTGAGACTTAGCTGTGATTTCTCCCTTTGTGCTATTTCAACACTTCCTGGCATACAATTACTGAACATATCTTCCCAGCATTACCTCCACCATATATATATCAAACCTGATTACTTCTCATCATCTTCACTGCTTAAAATTCTACCACTCTTAAGCTCCTTAATCTACATCAATAGCTGATTAACTGGTCTCTCACCTTCCACAGATCCTAAAGCCTGTTCCACCTAAAGCATCCAATGTGATAATTTTGAAACCCAAAGAAAGCCATATCACTTTATTTCTAAGGATCCTGCTTGCTGAAATTAGAATAAAATGCAAACTCTGTTCCATGCCCTATTGGACTCCACATAATCTGGCCCCTGTACATTTTTCTGAACTCATCTCACTCCAGGCTCTGTTGCATCCACTGCACTCCAGTCACACTGGCCATTGTTCTCTCCCTTGACCACACCAAGCTTGTTCTACCTTGCATCTGTTAGCCTGGGTATTCATTTTGCAGGCTCTTCCTACCTTACAGGTCTCAGCTCCAATGCTACAGCAGAAAGTTTCCTTTATCCCCTTCCCCAAAGCAGCAGCCTCCCTGCTATACACCCTGCTACTCCTTAGCTCACATTAAAAATCATCATACTATTCTGTGAGTTGATTTTCTGATTTTCCTCACAACAAGAAGGCTGGATGAGCACAGGGAACTTGCCTGTGTTGTCTATTGCTCTGTAGTCAGCTCCTGAAAGTATGCTTGACACACGGTAGGCATTTAAATATTTTTCATAAATGAGTAGCAAAAATAATCCAATTTCCTCAGTTTATACCTCTACAACTTTTAAGGAAACTCATTTTACTTATTTTCATATTTCATCAACATGTTTTTAAATTACACTGTTCTTGTTCATGGTCTAATTATCATGATAAGTAGTATAAATTTATTGAGATCTTACAGTGTTAGGCACTGCATATGCCTTTAAATGCTATCTTTCCATTTTACAAAAAGGAAATTGATGCTAAGAGAGGTCAAAGAACTTGCTCAGGAACACAGACAAAAATGCCAAAGTTGAGATTTAGATTAAGGGTTATCTCACTATAAATCTCAAGCTCCTTCTAATGTATCCAGTTATAGATCTGATGAGCATAAACAAATGTTTTTTAAAAAGAAGAAAAGGTAAAACAAACAGACTAATAATAACCAAAAAACCTTTTCAGACTACAAATGTGAAAGCTAAGAGGAAAACAATTGACTTCTACAAGAGTACAAGCAAAATTGTTTCGTATTTGGTTAAAGGTGAGGAACAAGTAAATTCATTTCATCCTAGAAGGAAGCTTTTGAAATTTCTTATAATAACAGATAATAGAGCTTAATTATATAAATATATTCAAATGTTTTAAATAAATTACATTATGCATGGATAAGTTATTCAAGTAAACCCAAGAGTCTTGAAATGATATGCCTCACCCAAAAAAGGCTAAGGTCTGGAGACTAACTATGCTTTTTCACAATTCCTTAGAGCTGTTAGGCAAATCACCCCAGGAGGATGGAGGATGAGAATTCTGATCCTTAGAAGAGGATGTCCTGCTCACTCGGTTTTACTATATTATTACGCTTTTCAAATCAATGGGTGTCAGATCTCTCTTCAAAATATTTTAGAGAATCTCACATAGTTAGAACTGATAAAGATGTTAGAAATGATTAAATCTAATTTTCACATCTTATAAACAAATAACTGAATACTGCGATGAATAATGATCTGTAATTTGGAAAGTGTTTCTACATCCATAGGAATCAGACTCAGCCTCATGCCTGGATGGTGAAAAGTCACATGACCAGTAAGCCGCCATCCACAGGGCTCCTGCAGAACAGGCACAAAACAGAAAAGGACCGTGAGATGCTGAGACTTGGTACAGTCTAAAAGAGCTAAAATTCCAAAAACAAAAATGACACGAAGTATATACTCTGGATCAGAGAAAAATGAAATAAAAAGAACGAGGTTTATAAAATAAGGAAGAGGAGTCTAAGCATAGAGAAGAGAACAATTGCTGTCAGATTACAACACCTCAGAGTCCAAGGAGGGGGCTAAGAAGAAAAAATACAGAGAAGAAGCCGCCACTGCTGTTTTTATATAGGGGTAGAAGGTATAGAGGTTTTTCTATTTTATTTATTTTTTTTTTTTTGAGACGGAGTCTCGCTGTGTCGCCCGGCTGGAGTGCAGCGGCGCGATCGCGGCTCCCTGCAAGCTCCGCCTCCCAGGTTCATACCATTCTCCTGCCTCAGCCTCCTGAGTAGCTGCGACTACAGGCGCCCGCCACCACGCCCGGCCAATTTTTTTCTATTTTTTAGTAGAGACGGGGTTTCACCGTGTTAGCCAGGATGGTCTCGATCTCCTGACCTCGTGATCCGCCCGCCTCGACCTCCCAAAGTGCTGGGATTACAGGCGTGAGCCACCACGCCCGGCCATATGTTATTAAATGAAAATGCCAGCTTAAAAACAAAAGTGAGGAAAGCCAAGCTGAGGTACATCCTGCAAGTTCAACAAAATTTAGAAACATTTCATCATGTGCCTCACATAAACCAACAGAACTTTTTTTTCTGTTACATTGTATATAAAATGAACTTTGTGTGTTTTCTTTTAAATTCAGGCTGAAAAAATGTCACTCATGTTTTTATTAGAATGGTAACCTTTTGTAATAAAAATAATGTTCTTCATACTAATTTATTTAGTGATCTAAAAGATGAATAAGTCTTTACATAGTTTGATTCTAGTGAAACAAGGACATTTTTGGGGTAGGATGAATGTGAGGAGTCAAACATTTCCTAAGACACAATGAACTTAGTTTTAGACCATGATGATGTCCTATATTTTTCAGAAATAAAATATTTATCTTAGATTCACTGCCTTGTATCATTTCATTTCTCTGTGTGTAAGTATGTATGTGTGTGTGTGTGGAGAAAACACAATAATGGTGTGAAAATATGAATAGTTAAAACATCTTGAAATATCTTATTCTGCTATCTTTTCATCTCTCTTTCAAGTCTTAATGTCTTTCAGAAAATCCAGGCATGCTTCTAGAAAGTTAGAATCTTGAGTGCTTTTTAAAATAGAATATTATTTGAATCTCAGTTTCTATTTCTTAGTAAAATCCTATGTCAACAAGTATATATTTATTGCCTACTATATCCCAGGCAGTTTATGAAGGGCTATGAGATGTACAGAATTAAGAGAGATTCATAGCTCCAACTCTGTCTTTTATTGTATCATTTTGTTCCAGTACACTTTCATATAAATTGATGATATTAGATTGAATAATTGCTAAAATATTGCTCTAAAATCTTATGATGTTGACCTACCAAATTGTTAGTAAAGAATACCATGGTGATTAAAGATAGTCACAGATTCTTTGCTATTTACTCACCAAGAGAAAGTGTTTATTTCCTCTCTCCTGCAGTCAGGGCCAGCCCTGTGATGCTCGGCCTATTGGAGGTGGGAAAAGTGATGCTGTGCCAGTTCCAGGTCTAAGGCTTAGGGACACCTGGCTGTTTCTGTGTTTGTGCTTCTTGGGAACCCGAGTCTTAATTGTTGAAATTGTTTAATCACATGGAGATGTAAGAAATCTGGCTACTTTATCAGGGATAACACAAGGTGACACCAGGCAGAGAGAAGAGGCCCTGGCACTACTCACAGAAAGAGGGAAACATTACCATCATAGCCTGCCAGTCCGTCTCTTGCTTCAGCACCAGCTGCCATCAGATTATACCTCCATGGGATTTCAAGTGAAACCAGCATAACTGTCCATCATGCCCAGTCAAGCCACATAACCATGAGAGAGGGAAACTTTATTGCTTTAAGCTACTAAGTTCCAGGATTGTCTGTTATGTAGCAATAGGTAACTGAAACAGATATTACTTCTCAGCATTACAGGAAGTATAATTACATTATTTATTCCATAAACTATATATTTCAGATTATATATAATAAAGTATCAATGTATACAGTCAGTTCTGCTATTATCTGACACAGGTAGTGCTAAAAATATCATCAAGCTATGCAAAATCTTGTAATATGAAACACAAGGCCAATAAGAAACATGGAGTTAAGGGTATGACACTCAAAAACATTGTCAGTGACACAGAAAAAAAATAAAGATCAAAACACAATAAATATGAAACTGGAGTTTTACATGTGTGAATAATTGATATATCCATATGTACTACAGTAAATATGGCACTTTACCTTGATCAAAACCTGAAGTTTGCTTGTGGAAGTAAATGTGAGAAGAGTTGCATCTGAGAGTTCTTGCAAAGTGATGAAAGGAGGGTTTTCAAATCAGGCAGAAACTTGTAACACTAAACGTATTTGAGTGTGGCTCATAACAGGTGTGTGCTGAGCTGAGGTAGTTGATATAATTTTGACATGCATGTGTGTTCGTCTGTTCTGAGTATGGCCACATGGCTTTGTTCACCTGAGTGCAGTTTTCTTGTTTGCCCAGTGTTTCCTGAGGATAAAATTGTGCTAAAGTGAAAACAAATTTTATGTTTTGTTGAAACTGTCCCCTAGTATTCAAATTTGTATTTTCAAAACATATATGTTTTACCAGAACTGACCTTATATGAATCTCTATAAAGAGTCCCAAATTACAAAGAAAAGACAGTGAATGGAATGGTGAACAATAATGTGTAGATTGCTGAGTAGAGACGAAAGACTGTAATAGAATGAGAGAAGAAAGAGACCATAATTACTAGGAGAATCGGTCTGTTTTTTGGGAGAAAGTGGAATTTCTGCAGAGCCTTGAAGGATGAGTAGTATATAAATATCAAGGTGGAGGATCTGCATAATAGCAGCACTGAACACAGTAATGGGTCATGGATTATCTAACAAACAGAGGAAAGAAAAGCTCCAGTTGTGAAAACTTAAAAAAAAAAAAAAAGAAGAAAGAATGTTAATACGCAGATTATGAAAACCCTTGAGTGTAAGAAAAGATCTTTATAACGATGGCAGCCAATAGAGAAGCATAAGTTCTTAAGCCTAAGAACCGGAAAAGAGAGTTTTTTTTCATGAACGTGAATTTATCATTAGCATAGAGGATATATTAGGGTCAAGTAGGAGAAAAACAAATGGCTCCTTAATTTCCCATTCCAGAGACCTTTGTAGGTTTCTCACATCCAACTGAGGTTTGTGGTGCACCAACCTTCTGCCAAATAAAATGCCCTAATGATTAGAAATATTTTTAAATCAATTTATTTTTAAAACATGACATTTTATTCTCCATAAGCATTCTATGTGATAGCTCTATACCAACCCAGTGCTGTTAAATGTCAACAAATATAAATGACCTCAGTGATTGTGATGTTTAATTGAAATTGAAGTTTCTTTATATTAAGTACACCTAGAAGTACTGCATATTTAAAACTGTATAACATGTTTACGAATAAATTATATTCCTATACCAGTGTTATAATTTTAGTTCCTATCTTTGTGAAGTGTTTTTGGATTGATTTAAAAATGTATTGCAACATATTACCTTCTAGATAACAGCATTTCACAGTTTGCTTCTAAATGCCACAAGGGTAAAACACATGCTACGTGACTTTCCACTGTGATGATGCAGAGTGAATAATATGTGATTTTTATTTAATTTATTCAATAAATGGTCATTGAATACATACTGTGTTGTTAGGGATACAATAATTGATAAAAGAGAAATTAACTCTGCCATTTGTGAGGCAGATATTAAATTTTTAAAGATAATCTTGTCAAGAACTACACAGGAAACTTTCACAATGACTGTGTGTTATTTCAGGATTTACTGAGTTTGGAGGCATGAGGCATTTTGGCTCCCAACAGTTATGCTTGATATTAGAAAACCATTAATATTATTTTCTCTTTTAATAGATATAAAAATAGGCCAGGTGTGGTGGCTATGCCTATATGATCCCAACACTTTAGGAGGCGGAAGTGGGCAGATCACCCCTGGTCAGGAGTTTGAGACCAGCCCAGTCAACATAGTGAAACCCTGTCTCTATTAAAAATACAAAAATTAGCTAGGCATGGTGGTGCACACCTGTAGTCCCAGCTACTTGGGAGGCTGAGGCAGGAGAATCACTTGAACTGCAGAGGCGGAGGTTGCAGTGAGCTGAAACTGCACTCCAGCCTGGGTGACAGAATGAGACTCTGTCTCAAAAAAAAAAAAAAAAAAAAAAAAAACAACGAAAGCGAAACTACCAATCTGCATATTTCCTTCTAAAGCCAGAAAGAATTCTTATGTACGTCCCTTAGGGAAGGATTTGTCTGATGTGTTTAAATAGATGAAATACGATTCTCTTAAGAGCAAGGTTTTCCAAAAATCTTTTTCCTTTGCACACCTCACTGTGCTGGGGCCAAGTTTAGTCTTCGATGAGGAATCAGAACGTGCTGGTCTTACTGAGACCTGGTCCTGTAACAGCTAAATCTCATTCTCTGCTATGTTTCTGTTAGCTCTCAAAACCTCAGGATGGACAGAACTCTTGTCACTCCTTCCACAGGGGATTCCACTGTAGCAGCAGGCAGAGGCAAAGGTACAGCCTTCTAAGGAACTCTTCAGCAGTGGGCATCTCCTGGAGAGGTAGACACATCGCCTCTCTGGACGTGTCTTTTCCACACAATTCTTCCATAAAGCTTCTCAGCTTATATATCACTTTTCTACTGCTATGCTTAAAAATTATAACATTTATAATTTATCAGTTTTCTACTGCTTTCTTTAAAAATTATTAAATTTAGCATATTAACAGAAGAGACATTTATCACATCATAGTTCCCATGGGTCTAGAGTTCAGGCAGAGCCTAACTGGTTGCTCTGTTCAGGGTCATAGAGGACTACAATCAAGATTTTGGTGATGGAAGGGTCCTATCCAAGACTTGAGGTCTTCTTCCAAGCTTGCAGGTTGTTGGCAGAATTCTGTTCCTTGTAACTGTAGAACCTAGATTCTCAATTCTAAGAGACTTTCTACTGTTCATTTTCACATGGCCCTCTTCACAACATGGTGGTCTGTTTCTTCAAGACAGGAGGAAGAGAAACTGCTGCTTCTAGTTTGTTTTTCAAAGAAGGTCTAAGTCCCTCTTTAAAACATTTCACCTGATTAAATCTTCTTTTTTGTTCAACTCAAAGAGAACTGATTAGGGGTCCCTATTACATCTGCAAAAGGCTTTGAGCTTTGCGATACAAGGTAAACTAATCACAGAAGAGAAATCTCATCATATTCACTAGATCTGTCCTACCCACACTAAAGGCCAGTGATTATACAAAGACATGGATTATTGGGGGGTATATCTTAGAAGTCTTCCTAGCATACCCCCCAAACTCAGTAAATCCTGAAGTAACACACAGTCATTATGAAAGTTTCCTTTGTAGTTCTTGCCAAGTTTATCTTTAAAAATTTGTTTAATATCTGCCTCACAAATGGCAGAGTTAATTTCTCTTTTATCAATTATTGTATCCCTAACAACACAGTATGTATTCAATGACCATTTATTGAATAAATTAAATAAAAATCACATATGATGCACTATAGATTATTTTGACATTTTGGCTCCATTCTAATGACATATCCTATATGCTATTTTACAGGATATATATAATTTTTATTGCCTATGCATTTGCTGTCTTTTAATTCTGGTCCATTCAATACCAACACAACACCTTTATAGCATTCAAACATACAGTAGAAATGCTACCATTGGAATACCGAAATCCTTACCTATCCCAAAATATTAATCAACTAACCATTCTACCATTAGTCAACAGGCATTTATTTAATAGTTGCTTTGGGCTTAGTTCTATACTTGGAGCCAATATTGCCATAGAGGTAATATTATGTACGAATTTTTTTCTGTAATTTTTTTAGAGAAATAAAGCTATAATATATTAAACAAAAGCTAAGACTACATGACCACATAAAATAAATGCTAAGATGTGCCATACTGACTGAGCGTACATGGTACAGGATTTCAAGAGAGAGAGATCAATGAAGTTTAGGAAAGTTAGGGAATATTTCGAAAGAAATGTAGTGCTTAAAGGGAATATTGAATAATAGGAAGAGAATCACAGTATATTCCAGCACAACTGGGTTCTGGGTAACTGGACAGGCTAATTATTGGTGCAGTGATCTAATGCCAGATGTGTATCTCAGAACAAAAGACAAGAGATATTAGAGTCACAATGAGCATCAAGTCTTCATTTTCTCTTTAGACAAGCTCACCTAGGCCCATAACTTACATTACGTATCTATACTGTAACAATTTCCAACTTTTCTTTATTTTTCTTTATTTTTAAATCAAATGTCTTTCTGAACTGAGGGTAATAATAACTCACATTTACTAATCCCTTTCTAATTATATGCCAACCACTGTTTTGACTCCAACAGGGTTATCCCACGAAGAATCTTAAACTTTCCAAAATTAGATATATGATCTTCCCTTTAAAATCTACACCTCTTTCAGTCTTTCCACAACCATGCAGTGGCTCATGCCCCAAATCTTAAAATCTCTGTGAATCTAAATAAACCCAGGTTCTCTCATTTTCATCTCCTAAAACTCAATTGACCCAGTGCACTTCTTTCCTTATCTAGGCAACATCTCTCTCACTTGAAGTACTGCAACAACTAATCTCATTAGAAATGCTCTTGACCCCCTCCACAATTTTCTCAATACAACATCAAAGTGCAAATCTTTTTCTTCCTAACTGAGTAACCATCAGTGGCTTCCTATTTCACTTTCTCATTAAAACACAACCCCTTACACATCTCACAAGACCTTGTGTGGTGTACTCCCACCCCTAACTTGCTGATTATATAGTGTGCTCCCTGCTAAGTTCCAGGCAAAGGGGTCCTCTTTCAGTTCTCCAAACAAATCAAACTCCATCTCAGTGTCATCCCATAGGCTGTTCACCTTCTCTGGAATCGTTCCCCAACCTCATTTCTTTGTCTAGTTTCATCTTCCCAATACTGTGCCTCTAAGCTTAAATGTCCCACCTTAAAACAGTCTTCTCTGACTCCCTAGATGGGTCAGGTAAGGTCTCTCTTACATACTCACATAAACTTCTGCTTTCCCTGTGTAGCACATTTCATTTTTGTAATTAAATATAATTAAGTTGATTTTTCTGTGAATGGTGTCTTCAAAAGCATCTGTAGTTACCTCTGTTTTGTTCTCTTTTATATTTTCAATGTCTAATACAGTGCTTATCAAAGTAACACATATTCAACTATAAAAATTGGTCCTCAGCACCAAAGGGCATCTAAGCTGTATCTTGACTGCAATAAAGATACATAGTCAAACATTCCTTTAATTTAAAAAACTAAACTAAAATTACAATTTGCCCGAACCTCACATCATCTGTTTTATAGTTAGATTCTAGCTCATAATAAATTTCATCTGCATGATATATACCCAAGAAAAGAATCCACATATTAGAATAATATCCCTATTTTTTAGGATAAACTTTTAATTTTATCAGAATGAATCAGATATTTGCTATAATGTTCTACATTCCCAAAAACTTTTAACTAAAAGAAAATGCCATGTTGTAAACAAACAAAATTAGCAATAAAAAAATCTCAGGCTGGGTGCAGTGGCTCAGGCCTGTAATCCCAGCACTTTGGAAGGCTGAGGTGGGGGGGATCACCTGAGGTCAGGAGTTCAAGACCAGCCTGGCCAAAATGGCAAAACCCCGTCTCTACTAAAAATACAAAAATTAGTTAGGCATGGTGGCACACACCTGTAACCCTAGCTACTCAGTAGGCTGAGGCAGGAGAATCACTTGAACCCAGGAGGCAGAGGTTGCAGTGAGCCAAGAGTGCGCCACTGCACTCCAGCCTGGGTGACAGAGTAAGACTCCATCTCAAAAAGAAAAAAAAAATCTTCCAAAATAGTATTGTAAGATTTTTTTTATTAATTGGAGAGTCTTTCATTTTAAAGGCATTACAGAAATTAATGAGACATAGTGTTTAGAATTAACACTATGTACATTCTACATGGTTCTATTTCTGCCATCAAGTTCACTTAGAAGAAAATAATTAGAATATCATTGAGAAGGTGGCCATATATATAAAAGTCTACACGAAAAGTGCACTTTTCATGTAGACTTTTGAAAAATTATCTTAAACTGCATTCTGCTCTAATACGGATCTCTAAGGGCAAAAGAAATATGACTGAGTGTTTGAGATGAATTTTATTTGTGCCTCAATATTTAAGTATCTGCATTTTAATACAGGTATTCCTATTTTTTAAATAAATCTTTTTCTTGAAATCCTCTCATTACATATGTTGCCTTATTACAATATTTTTATTAAAAAAAGTAAAACTTCAATCTAAAGTAAATTTGAGGTTCAAATGGGTTTCAAGTCAGGAAACCTAATTGGAGAAGATGCTAAAATGCATTGTATCAAGCAGAAATCTGTAATATCAGTTACAAAATTCTAGTCCTTCAGACAACAGAGAACGTAGTTTGTTTAGTAAATCCATGAAAAAGATAATTACAAGTTTTTGATGGAGATCTTCAACAATTATAAGGTCGTTATCCCTCCTCTTAATGCTGGATCACTTCAAAGGCACAACTTAAAAATACTTCACAATGCTAATAAATAGTTTTTTTTTCTGTTTTGATTTAATTTAATTAAAACTTCAATCAGGACAAGGAATTAGTCACTTGGTCAATTCTGAAATTACCATCATGATGAACTTGAAGAGACACAAGTTGCTTTACCTCCTTTAAAAGCTAATATCTTGGCCAGGCATGGTGACTCATGCCTGTAATCCTAGCACTTTGGAAGGCCGAGGCCGGCAGATCACTTGAGGTCAGGAGTTTGAGACCAGCCTGGCCAACATGCTGAAACCCCGTCTCTACTAAAAATACAAAAATTAGCTGGGTATGATGGCAGGTGGTGGTAGTCCCAGCTACTCCGGAGGCTGAGGCAGGAAAACTGCTTGAGCCCGGGAGGTGGATGTTTCAGTGAGCTGAGATTGCACCAGTGCACTCCAGCCTGGGTGACAGAGTTAAAAAAAAAAAAAAAAAAAAAAGCTAATATCATTATTATGTATTTATTATTGGATAGGGCAAATAAATGGGGACACTTAATTGAAGTTTAAAGAGCTGAAATTAGCACCTGAGAACATTTTGACAGGTAAGACATACCTGAGAAGTGCAGCAACCACTTTTATAAGCTTAAACTCTTTGAAAACAGGCTTCACAAGAAGCAGCAGTTTTGTTAGCGGTCCCATAACCTCATGTTATGTAACTCATTACTAAATTAGGCATACAAGATCTGGCTTGGAAACCTGGTGAATTTCAGAGTCTGAGTTTAACATTTAAAACCGATCACCGAGGGTTTAACTCTGGTACCACTCCAGAAAGACAGCTGCTGGTTAAACTGGTAACATGATACCCAAGTGCCACAGAGAACCTATAATGTGCCTTTAAGGATATTTTCCATTGAAAGTTTTTTGTTTAGCGAGACTTAATAGACATACGCAAATGACCACAGCATACAAACCATTGTGGATTATGTTTTTAACCCAAAATCATCTAGAGGAGTCTTTTCTCCCTGTCTAAATAAACTTATTTAAAACAGGGGAGGGAAAACTTAGTTAAATAACAGGAGTGTCAGTTTCAGTACCCTTCACTTTAAGCCCTGAGAAACGTCCTAACTTATAATGGTGCCACCTCTGGAGTTCGCATTTCAAGTCGCCCGGGTATGGTTTCTGGGAGTGAACCCCGGGCCCCATCATCCATCGTGATTACCTGGGGCTGCAGCCGTCCTTGGCCTCTGCAGCTCCAAAGCGCCCAGACGTTCGTTCCGGTGGCACTGAAGGGCTAAGCAGTGCTCACGGGCGGACCGAGGAGAATGAAGGCCACGCGTGGGCCGCCCCTACCTATGGCGCTCAGGATCCAGTGGACGCAGCAGGAGTCTGCGCGGGCCGCGTGGGCGGTGCCTTCCTTGCAGAGGCTGCAGGGCTAGCGCAGCGAGTGCACCTGGGAGTCACGCTCTCGCTCAGACACATGGCCCTGGACCCTTGGCTGTTTTCCTGCCGCAGCCTCCCGACTTCAGGCCGGTGTGCGCCCGCCCGGGGAAAAGGCAGGAGCGGGAGGCTCCTGCATCTGCCAGCCCTGCGGATCAGGCTGCCCTGGCCATGGCGAGGAGACGCAAGGGCCCGGCTGGCTAGTTCACACTACCTTTCGGGGGCAGGTTGGTGGAGGCTGCCGGGATAAGCCGGAGTCGAGCCATCGGAGGGAGCCATTTTGAGTTTCTGAGGAGCAGGGGGAGGGCGGCTGCTTCAAGAGCTTCCTAGGCCAGCAAAGACACACAAGGGCGTTTGCCCCTTAATCCGGTTCCAGTTTCTGAGGGACAGGGGGAAGGCGGCTGCTTCAGGAGCTTCCTAGTTCAGCAAAGACACACAAGGGCGTTTACCCCTTAATCTTAGGACAATGGTGAGAAGAAGCACAATTACTACCATGACTTCATGTCATGGTAGTAAATTATTAACGCTGTAGCACTATTCTGCCACTTGGTCTCTGAAGTAATTTATCTGTATTAACTGCTCCCCACTCTCTTTCACTGTCTTCCTGGGATTTCACTTGTTTCCTACAAGCGTACTCACTGGACAGAGAGCTCCGCCAGGAATAGGACTGCCATGTTGAGTCTGGATCTAAAGATTCAGCGCAGCCCGCTGTTACATAGCAGTAGGCTGGAGCAGATGATTTCCTTAAATGAATGAAAAGACTGATTGGAGACCACAAGCCAGGTGTTTCCCTCTGTTCTCCAGTGTCCTGAATAGTCATGTGTCCCAGGCTATAGATGACAAGTGGAAGACCTGCAATTGAAATAAAGTATGAGAATTTGTTATCCAAATGCTTTGTTTTACCAGGAGTTTTAGTCTGTTTGGAGGCTCTGCCCTCATGACCTAATCACCTCCCAAAGAACTCCTCCTAATACTGTCACCTTGAGGATGAAGCTTTAACATATACATTTTGGGGAGACACAAACATTCAGACCAAAGCAGGGTTTTTAATTGATTTTGTTTGTTTCTTTATGTATGTATGTATGCATTTTAGAGACTGGCTCTGTCACCCAAGCTGAAGTAGAGTGGTGAGGTCATACCTCACTCCTACCTTGAACTATTAGGTTCAAGTGACCCCTGAATGCCTCCCATCTCAGTTTTGCAAGTATCAGGGACTACAGGTACAAGCTGTAGGCCTGGCTCTTGACTTCCTTTTCTAATTCTCCTTTTTGATCTTAGTAACTCAGAACATCTAAAGAATTATTAATAAATAGGAATCTAATAATGGTAAATTGTTTCGGACGTTTGCAATTCTGCTGCCCAGCACTCTCTCTTTTGCGGAAACAGCACCCAGCCTTTGCTTTGAAATGCCTAATCATGCCCTACTCTCAGCCTATTTGCTTCTGGTTCTGCTAACTCCTCTTCTCATTCCAGTGCTCGCAATACTTGCTGGTTCAATGGAAGTGCCTTGTTCACCTGGTGACACGGATTGTTGCTGAGACATGTACATGCCCCAAGTCAGGCCAATCAAAGACAAAAAGACCTAGTTCTGAAACTTTGCTACGCCTACAAGTTAGAGTAACATATCTCTAGAGATGTTTGAATGCTCAGCTGCTACAGGACTGTGATGCTAAGATTAGGGCCTCAGTAGGGAAATGACTTGGCCCCCTGAAACATGGATGGTGATATATAGATGGTTGCCCCTGAAGAAAATTGGCTTTTCAAATCACTAGAACCCTTAGACCTTGTAGAAGTGGCCCACCCTTGCTTAGTAAGAGATGATACTTCTCCTGTACTGGAAATGCTGCAGAAGTGTTTCTTCCACAATTGAACATGTGCCACGGAGGAGTTTCACAGACCTACTCTTCTGGCTGTAAGATCCAAATCTACAGATAAATTTCAGGAAAACCTGACTAGGAGAATGGACTTGATAAAAGTGGGGGAGAAGAGTTGGAAGAATCAGCATCTACAGGCAAGAGCCAGATACATACTCTTGGAATGAGATTCTTCAGGAGCTTGACCAAGGGGGCCAAAACGTGAGCCTGAATAAGCAAGAATAAATTGATTTGGGAGCATTTTCTTGGGACATGAAATATAATAGGCTAGAAAGGACCCCAAGGTAAGAAGTAAATTTATTGTCAGCATAGCCCTTAGAAAGTGATGGATAAGGTTAAGTCAGATGGAAATGCCTGAATCACTCTAGCAGACAGTAAAGAAAGGATTACAGAGCTTGAAGAAGTGAGATTATATTGTTTGAGACCAGAAGACCTACCAGTGAATGATGCTCCACCAGAGGGCCAAGGACACACTATTCAAAGAACGGCATCATCAGGAATGTACTGGTGAGAGGATCACTGGAATCACAGATACTGATTGGAGATTCTCCTCTGCATGTGTAAGTTAATAGCGGGTGAAGTGTTCACAGAGCTGCATTCAGTGATATCTATGAGGATGATGGCCTGGCCATCAGACCAGTAGGTGGCACTTAACCACCAAATGGCAGGAAGCTGCAATTACCGTAAAAACCCATAAGATCAGAGGGACAGTCAAGAGGCCTGATGCACAGAGAGTGGAGATGATAAATAGACCATGGCGTTCTTAAGAACAGAAAAGAGCAGCAGCCAACATGGGTGCTATGTAACATCTGCAATCAGGAAAAGCAGGGGATTGAAGGAAGTCACCCAAAGAAAGTATGCAAATATGTTACCCATTTCTCTGGAACCAACATCTCAGACACACAGCTAGGGGTTTTATTCTTTGACTTCAATCCAGGTATCTGGATTCCTCACAGAATTAGAGAAAAATTTGATGTAGAAGTAACATATCTGGGAGAGAATGGAGGGACACATAAACCTTCTAGACCATTATAGCCAGCATGTCCTTTGGATCAATTAGATACGAAGAAGTTCCATTAACTGAATAGCATCCCCTAGCTTGAGTCATTTGTATAATTACCTTGTTAACTTGAAGATTATCAGCATTCAGCTGAATTTCTCGCACTACAAATTTTCAAGTCCTGGTTGAATGAAACTGCTAAAGAAGGAAAATGTATCAGTAGCAGTGCCATCACTTGAAAATCATCCATACCCATCATAATTTCAAGAATAAGGAGAATTTCCAGTTTTGTGAAAGTTTTGAAAAATGAATTTATCTTCCAAGAGGATGCTCACAATTCCTTGAAAAAAAATTTAACCAATCCATTACCTTTATCATCTGCAGCCCTAGTATAAGCTTCAGACCGAAACTTAGCATCCTGCAACATGCTATCTCAACTTTATTGAAAAAATAAGATAGTAAAATGAAAGTAGGAAGAAAAATCTATTCAAAGATAGATGGTGTAGGCAAAATGATGTCCTGAATGTACAACTGCCTTGAAGGACGTAGTCTGTTTTTATATAACTTCCTTAAACTTTGCAATTTTAGACAATAACAAGAATTGTGAGGACCCCAAATGGTACATAGTGTGTGGTTTCTTTCACGTGGCATTCTAGAAAAGGCAGAATTGTAGGAAAAAGAAATGCATCAGGGGATGCCAGAATTGGAGAAGGGTGAAATGTGTCCCTGCCAAGGGACTTCACAAAGAATTTTTACTGGTTTTGTATTAATGTACCTTTGGAAAATATGTACATTAATATTCTGTCTATGGTGAGGATATTGTAGCCACAATCCATGAATTATATAATTAGTTGCACTATTTTGACATAAAATATTAGAATAATTTAGTACTATGTGATTTATCTTGCTCTTGGCTTTTAAACTTGCTGGCAAAATGTCTTTTTGTGAAAGAAATACTTGTATTTACTTTGAATTCTTTGAAACAGAGCATCCACAGAACATCCTCCCTTGGGAATCAGCACCCTGGCTGAGCCAAGGAGCTGCACATCTCAAGGCTGAGCTGATCTAGTATTTTGCATTCCAGGAAAACAAAATAATGCCTGAGCTGAGACACCTGCCTTACAGGACAAAAATATTTAGAAACCTCCTTCCCTGGAGCTGAACTAGACCCTTAGAGTCTGAGGTGCTGAAACATCCCTCTTTCTGGGTAATGTGAGGGTTAATATTAGGTGTCAATTTGACTGGATCGAGGGATGTGTGTCGGTGAGAGTCTCACTAGAGGTTGATATTTGAGTCGTTAGACTGGGAGAGGAAGACCGAACTGTCAAGTGTATGGGCGCCATCCAATTGGCTGCCAGAGTGGCCAGAGCAGAGCAAGTGGAAGAAGGGGAATAAGCAGCTTGCTAAGTCTTCTGACTCTCTCTTTCTCTTCCTGTGCAGGATGCTTTGCTTCCTCTCCTCCTGCCCTTGGATATCAGACTCCAGGTTCTTCGGCCTTTGGACTCTGGGACTTGCACCAGCAGCCTCCAAGGGACTCTCAGGCCTTTGGCCTCAGACTGAGGGTTGCACTGTCAGCTTCCCTGGTTTTGAGGCTTTCAGACTTGGACTGAGCTACACTACTAGCTTCTCTCTTTCCCCAGCTTGCCAACGGCCTATCATGAGACTTTGCCTTGTAATTGTGTGAGCCAGTTCTCCCTAGAAAACTCTCTTACATATATACGTACATCTTATTGGTTTTGTCTCTTTCAAGAACCCTGTGCCCAAACAACAGGGCCCAAACAAAGCTGTGCTCCATCATTCTGGGGTACTACTGCTGCTGCTGCTGATGCACTTGGCCTTGCAGAGCCTAGGATACTGTTGTGCCCGACCATCCCAGGGGCTAGAGTCACTACTACAAGATTCTTTATCCTCCAGGACCCAAACTACCAGTGAGCCATAATGGTTCAGGTTCACAAATTGCATCCATAGCCTTATCCCTGGGCTCAAACCTGTAGAGCATCCCTTCTTCCCCAGAGTTGGCCCAGCGCTGTGCCCTGTTTCCTAGGGATAGAATCACAGCCCCCTAGAATCACCATTTGAGCTGCTAAAGAATGCCACAGCATCACATATCCTGGCTCTGGAAACAACCTACATCCAATCCCGTCACAGAGAGCAAACCTGCATCCCAAGACCCAGGTGCCACTATAGGCTCATGAGCCCATGAGCCTAGGACCCTCAACCTACAGCCATTCTGAGCATCTGCACCTGAAACTCAGGACTGCAGCAGCTGTTTTTAGGCCATGTCAAAACTGACACCAAGAAAGATTCTCTTGGGTAAGTCTCCCTATTGTGAGGAAAACAAGAATAGGAGGACCCCAAAGAACATTGGTACCAAGAACATTAATAACGTATGCCCCTGACACTGCCACAGACTTTTACAGACTAGGTCACTGAGGCACCCACACTTACTGTTGATGTCTATTGCAGCTGAAAAAGCTACACGGAGATTATACCACTGCATCTATCCAGAAACAGAGTCACTACACCTTTTCCAAATAACGTACTATAACTCAAATGCAAGTGAAAATCTTTCTCCACCAAAGCCACGCTAGAAAGCTTGTAAGTGGTTATTGTTCTACCAGACACACAGGCATGAATTCAGGGACACAAGAAACATGAAGAAGCAGGGAAATAAGATACCACCAAAGGAACATAAGAACTGTTTAGTAGCAAATCCCAATGCAAAGGAAATCAATGAATTGCTGGAAAAGAAATTCAAAGTAATGATCTTAAGAAAATTAAATAAGATACAAGAAAATAGAGATAGACAATTCAACAAATTCAGGAAAACACTTCATCATATGAACGAGAAATTCAACAAAGAGTTAGAAATTATAAAAAAGAACAAAACAAATCCTGCAACTGAATAATTCAATGAAAGAACTAAGAAATGCAATCGAGAGCTTTAACAGTATACTTGATTAAACAGAGTAAAGAATTACAGAACATGAAATAGGTCATTTGAAATTACCCAGTTAGAAAAAATATGGTAATCATCCTGATTTGACCACAACATATTGTATACATGTATTGAATTCCCATAAACCTAAACAATTATATGTCAATTAAAAATAACAACATTTTTAAAACCCACAAGACTGTAAACACCAATGAAAAAAAGCACACAATTAACAATTATTTTAATTTGATTTATTATTTTTAACTTTCGTTCCTGTTGATTATATGCATCCCTATTTCTTCTTTGATGATTTTAATGCATACACTTTAAATTTCTTTTAGAAAATAATCATGTCTGGTACATTTCCAAAGCAATCAAATTGCTTGAGTTTCATAGAAGCATGTTCAGCCTTCAAATAGTGATTATGATTTCACCCAACCCATTCTGATATAAATAACAAGTGTAAAAAGTAGATTTTGTTTCCTAAGTTCTTTGATGTCTCATCATCAGGACTCCTTCCTCTTGTGTTAAGCAACATTGCCAGCCAATCTTGACAGTTACTGTCACCATTCAGTTTTCTTTATAAGAAATGATCTGAGTAAGTGTGAGATGCAGATGAGATAGACTAATAAATCCTATGGGGCTCAGTTGATTGTCTTATAGAGATGTCATACTCCACTAGGTTCCACTTCCTTGGTATTTAAATTTTTCATTATATTGGAACTAAAAATAATAAAAAGCTTAGAAAAATATTTGAAATTTGCCATCACTGTAACATGAAAATTTAATTAGTTTTGCATTTTGGCACCAAGAAGCATGTCATTTTCTTCTGTCTGATTCAAAAAATTCACAAATGTAAGCAAAAATGAAACTCCTAATGTTAATGAAACTTTTCTTCAGTTCTACACCAACCTAAGCTCAGAGTAGAGGTGAATAGCTCCTAGGAAATCTATAAAACTTTATCTTTTGGGAAGACTATCAGATTTCATTCAAACCTGGTATGATATTTGGTTTGAGATGGATTTCTTTTTTGTTTAAATCAGTGAAAGTAAAGAGGGAGAATTGAGTTATTTTCTAACTATACTGACATAAAACAGCCACTTTGAAATATGGCTTAAATCAAGTCATTAAGAAACCACATTCTTATATTTTCTTGTTTTTTAAATATATTTACTAGTACACAAAGAAACACTTTCTTTTCAAGATCTTAATGGACAACATAATTACAAATATAAATCAGATTCTGCATTTTGAGTTGATTTTATGAAATAATTTCCTTTAATTCCTCCTTAAGGATGTCCAATCTATGTAGCTGGGTCATTCAAACCTCTCTTACTAGGTTTGCCATTTCCTTAGGCGCTGCAGTAAGTCACATACTTATGCCAGTAGTTGGGTGTTCTTTCTGCCTCGCTTACTCTATCCAATAGCAGGTAAGAAGGCTTTTGTCTTGTTTGTAAGAACATCTCTGTCATTGAGTGCCATGATTTTGCTGAGTGCTCTCTCTATCTTTGTAATCTACCTGGTCCTTTAGTTTCATTTTTTCTTCTCCCATAACACCGTACACTGACAACTGAGCTCTACTCATGTTCACTGATTTCCTTTCTCCTCAAACCTCTGCCCCTGGAAAACTTGGATCTCCGGTGTTCAACCTAGTGCTCTCTGTTTCTTGTTTACCTTTTTTATAATGATTTTTTTAAGCACATCTTCTATTTTCAGTCATGCACTTTACCCTGTATTCCAGTTAGACTTAGGGAGGAGATGTGGGAAATGAAAGCTAAAGAAAGACAAAAAGTAAAAGCACAAAGTGACAGGGCATGAGAGCTGACCAGGGTTAGTAGATACTATTTCCAGATACAGAAGTCATGAGTGAGTGTGGCAGATTCCCACTTTGAAGCAATGCCAACCTTCTGTGGGTGTCGGCATTCTTCTCATCAACACTCTCTATGACTTCCACAATGTTCATCTTTTCTTTCACATGGCCAGAAATTGCATAAGGCTTGACAACCATAGAGCCATCCTCTTTAGCATGACAGATTAAAAGAAAAAAAAAGCACTAACTCTATGTGTGGGTCTAATATTTGCCAGAAACAAGGTGCAAGAATAAATAAAATTTCCCATCAGTTTTTTTTTTTTTTCCTTTCCTGGTAGAGATCTTTTCCAACAGTGTCATTATGAAATGTGAAATCACCACCCTGGCATGAAAACCCAGGAATCCTTCTGTAAATCGGAGAATCGCTGTATTACAGTACTTTCTCTCTAGGGTTTAGAGCTCCAGCATTTTGGTTGTTTTTGGAACTTTATCAGAAAATATTTCAAAGGAAACTGTAAAGTTGAAATACACAACAGAGAGCTGGCCATAGCTGGAATCTGTTCAGAAACCTAAACAATAGCTCCAGGAGGTATCATCTGAAAAATGTCTTCATAATTTACTTAGGACTCTACCAAAGTCTGTTATCTTCCTTGAATAGTGTTCTTCCACCAAGATTGAATATTATTAGCTGAAGCTGAATCAGCAGCCTGAACATTGCTACTTCCTCAGTGGAGAAGTTTTGTCCTCAGAACTGAGCTTCTACCATGCAGGTGAACTGCTATGTTACCCACCCAGCTGGGTAGTGAGGTTTTAAAGCTTTACATGTCCCTTGGTCATGCATCCTGGTTTTCAGTTAAATAAAAATGAAGCACAAGTTACTACAGAATTGACTATAGCAAATGGCTTTATTTGAAGGTTGAATAGTGTTACTATGAAAGTCTGGAAGTGTAGGAAAAAAAATGGCTTCTTTGTGTTGAGTTCAAGTGTTTGGTAGAAATGGAAATTATTAGCTTTAGAGAACTGAGGAAGCTTTCTTATGCTCAGTGCCTTGAGTCTTCATTAATAATATTCTATGATAGGATAGCCTGTACCCAGGCTCTCTTTACTCCCATTTGTTTAATGAGAAGTTATTTCTTGTGTAAAAATCTTAGAAAAATAATATGAACTTATTCATGAAGTCAGTTGCTGAAGTTATGGAATATTGATATTCTAGGTTTATTGGAAGCAAAAAGAAACAAAACAAAATAGGGAACTAACTGCTATGTTGCACCTCATATCGCAAGTTCCTCACCAGTTGCCTTTTCTTTTTCACTTTTCAGTCTCCTGTCATTTGATTTATAAATTTTGTCCAGGGTATTTATTGTAAGTACTGTGAGGAGTAGGTGGAATGTGTATATTCCATCTTGTTCAGAACGAAGAGAGCAATTATGTTTTATAGATGTCTAAACATAATGGCAAAACGCTTCCTGAAACTCCAATCAGTGACTCCTCCGTTGAGTGAAACCTCTATCCTCTGTTTGGGTTCCCTTTTGTATTTGTATGGCTCAGTGATGCCACCAGGCCCTCAGTTCTTTGCTTTTTTCCTGTTAGCTATCACAGTCCTCTCTTACCTGTTGGAAACACGTAAAACCCCTTTTTAATGGATTTCCAGGTTTTTTTAGTTTGCTTTTTACAGTGGGAAGGTAATTCTCTACAGTTAATTTTTCATAGATAGAAGCAGGAGCACGCCTAACTGGTGTCATTTTAATTAAACATTATTTGCCCAAGCACTGACTTATAAATGTGAACTTTCATTTTCATAGAACTACTTGAGGATGGGGATTTCTTTGATTTTATTATAGAAAAAATTAAGAAGGGAGCCAGAAGGAAGGTATAGCTGTACATAATTAAGCCTTTCCAGTCACTTGAGGTAGCTTTTAGCAAAGACAAAGTTACTGTAACACATGAGTTTCACCACAGGCAAAGTGGTATGCCTCTGAATGTACTTTCTTAACTTTATATAGTTTTTGAACAAGTAGATTCGAACATAGTGACTTGTAAGTCTGAGAGCATACTTCAGTGAAAGGAAAATATTTCACAGATAAAACTTTTATAGTTCATGTTTATGGTGTGTTTGGTAGAAAAACAATTTGTGGCCGGGCGTGGTGGCTCATGCCTGTAATCTCAGCACTTTGGGAAGCCAAGGCGGGCAGATCACAAGGTCAAGAGATCGAGACCATCCTGACCAACCCTGTCTCTACTAAAAATACAAAAATTAGCTGGGCTTGGTGGTGTCAACCTGTAATCCCAGCTAATCGGGAAGCTGAGGCAGGAGAATCGCCTGAACCCAGGAGGCAGAGATTGCAGTGAGCCGAGATTGCACCACCGCACTCCAGCCTGGGGGATAGACCGAGACTCTGTCTCAGAAGAAAAAGAAAAATAATTTACATCTATATTACATCTATAGAGAAAATTCCTTTTTTCACTCTATTTTCATTTATCCTAGCCCACGTAAAATCTAACCAAATCAGTTAGCTCTGAATGCAAAAATTTTCTCCCCCCAGTATAATTGTTCTTTCACTTTCTTGGGAAAATTACAGAATATTTATATAGGCCACACAATTACCTAACTTGATCTGGTGATTTTCATAACTTATTGGAGCATTTAAATAAAAAGAGTTATTTTTAAGGCAATAAGTGAATATAAACACATAAGTAAATTTTGTCTTCTCTTTATTAATATAATAGGATAGATGAATATATAGTGACAACTTTTTACACTACATAGTATAGTGATAGCTTTGCACTAGCAGAGGGGCTCCATTAGTTTTTAAAATTGTATCAAATTCTATACAGACAGCCTTAATGGACTTATGTTGTCTTCAATTATCACCTCGATTTAAATTTATAATGCTCACAGTACAGTCTAAAAGAAAAGTACGTGTTTTTAGGCTAAACAGATGTAAGTTTAATACCTGGCTCAGTAACACAGCTTATAAGTAAGCCAGAATATCAAAATATATACATATATATACAGACGTTTTTCCCTTTTTCATAGCTTTAATGGCAATATTTTCTCCCTGGAGGTCCTTTTCTGGTGATATAAAGGCCTGGTATTTTCTGTAGATAACACAATAGAAAATCAAAATGTGCAGATGGAAAATAAATGGTATATAAAGATATATATAGAGATAGACATTGACATATACAGATATAGATAGATATCAAGTGTGTATATGTCTGTAGTATATATATGATATTGCACTGAGTAAGAACAGAACATTTCAATCAATGATGGACCACATATACAACATGGTGGTCCCATAAAATTATAATACCATATTTTTACTGTACCTTTTCTATGTTTAGATACACAAATACTTATTATTGTATTATAATTGCATACAGTATTCAGTACAGTAATAAGCCACACAGGTTTATAGTCTAGGAGCAATAGACTGTACTATATAGCCTTGGTGTATAGTAAGCTATGCCATTTAGGTTTGTGTAAATACACTTTATGATATTCACACAACAATAAAGTCACCTAATGACACATTTCTCAGAATTTATCTCATTTATCATAAAAATGAAGTGAGATAGTTAATTAGTCCATTTTCACACTGCAATAAAGATACTCTCTGAGACTTGGTAATTTATAAAGAAAAGAGTTTTAATTGACTCACAGTTCCGCATGGCTGGGGGGGCCTCAGGGAACATACAATCATGTTGAAAGGCGAAGGGGAAGCAGGCATGTCTTACATGGTGGCAAGAGAGCAAGAACGCAAAGCAGAAAATGCCAAACACTTATCAAGCAACCAGATTTCACGAGAACTCACTCACTATCACTACAGCAGCATGAGGGAAACTGTCCCCATGATCCAATTACCTCCCACCAGGTCTCTCACTCAACATGTGAGGATTACAATTCAGATTACAGTTTGGATTACAATTTGAGATGAGATTTGGATGGGGACACAGCCAAACCATATCAGATAGTGTTGACAATATAGTATATTAAACTTAAATGTTGACAATAAGCTATAGTATATTAAAGGGAGTGTATTAAAGTGCCTATTATAGTGAGTATATTGTAAATGCTCATATATGGTACCTATTAATATGAATATTATTTTATAAATGTATAGAGGCTAAATATAAGCTTTTCAGCAATGCAAGATACTCAAAACTCCACACAATTTCACTTCACTTCTATTAGCACTCAAATATATTTATTATCATAAATTGAGAAATTAATGAAAATCTTAAATTTAATTACCTTCCTTCCAATATTGTGAACAGCTTCCTGCTTCTGCCTTCCTTTGTCATCTGTCACTAGGGTTGTATTTTTCCAGCAGGGGTGAGAATTAGAACACACAATTGTTCATATATTAACTTAATCCTACAAATATTTACTGAACAACTCTGAAGAGGATTAGGAATAGATGTTGAGACCCTGTGCAGAAATGGATGCTTGGATTTTTCTGTAATACATAGAAATGTGAGGGGAACTCATCTCTCCCAAGTATCTAGCATATGATAAGACCTATACATAGATTATCGAACTTACATCTTTATTAAACAATGGAGCAACGTCCTTTTCTCGCTTTGTAGACAAGGAAACCAGCTAAAGTTAAGTCACTCATTCAAGGTTACACAAGCAGTGAGACTTAACTGGCTTAAGGTGCTTTCTAGTATAATATATGGACATATAATGTCATATAGACTATAAAATTATTACTACTGCCTCACCATTTTCAAATGAAAATGTTTTAATTGTGTTTCTCTGAAGCTTAAAGTCTTTTCATGTATAGTCAATATAAATCATTGCTTTCCTCTGCAGCAAGATTCTCACTAGTAGCTTAAACTCCAAGAAGCATTTTCCTCTTTTTCATCTCTTTAATAGCATTATTTTTTCACTAGATATTCTTTTTTATTGATTTAATTTTGGTGTTTTCTACACATAACACAAGATCAAAAGGTACAGAAATAAAATAAATAAGGTATGAGGCTCACCTGCTGTCCACAGGCAGTGCATTGGCAGTGATTCCGTTTGCTTTACTGCAATCTTGACAGGCATCCTGCTCCCTGACTGTGATGCTACCATGCCTCAGCAGTGGCTACAAAAGCAGCTTCAGGTGATTAAGTATCAGTCTTTTTGTCATAAAACTGCCCATGATGTCTTTTGTCACAAGTACTTATGTTTCATTACAAGCTTTTTTTATTTTCCATAGATTCAACTCTAACATTGCCAAAGGAAAAAAAATGCTCAACTGGCATGTTTTGTCATTCAAGCCTTTTGCCTTCTATTGATGGCTAAAAAATATTGATAAACTCATTAATAAAAAAGCAAAAAATAAATAAAATATATTTCTGAAAATGTTCACAATTGCACATGCCTTACAATCTAAATATATTGTCTTGAGTATTTTTAAGCATATGAAATTGCATTGGTTTAACTGATATCTTCTAAGAAAATATTTATTTCAAATAGCAACTTAGCATGTTTACTGTTGTGGGTTTGTGATGAGTAGTTAAGTGTCTATTGAAATTCTTATACAATTTGGTTTATGTAAGTCATAGACAAGAAAACTGTTGTAAAAAAAAATGGGGTTTATTCAGTCGAACAATATAAGTTGCCTGAATGAAGATGTGTAGTTAGAAAAGATGTGGAGATCTTATAATATTCAGATATGTTAGCTCAAGGGGGAAGCTATTCTAGACCTGAAGCACCATGACTCTAGATAAAGATATGCAGATAAGTCAGCACTAGGTACATTAATTTAAAGATTAAGAAGCATTAGTTCACATAAAATTTTAAATGTATCTCCCATCCATTCTTTCTTAATTTGCTCCTTCTTCTGTTCCTATTTCCATGGATAAATGAATTTGCTTGCTCTGCTTTATTGAATTAGGATAAAAAAGTTAAGGGAGATAAGTGTCAAGTTACATTGGAAAGAGAATCCAGTCTACTTTACTAGAATCTATTACTAAATATAATGTTTGTGTGCTCACAACTACATATCCAGAACCAATTCTAGAAGTCTGTGGCTGTTAACTGATAAATTTATCAGGAAGAATTGTTTATTTTCAAATATCTTACCTAAAAGGTTGCCATTTCAAACTGATTTTAATGAGCAAATAAACTGACCATTTATAATATTGATATCTTGGAAGAAGGCTACATGCCAGTTTCTCACACCTTAATGCTGATCAACAGATTGCTACTTTTTTTAAGTGGTAGACAAATTCAATTGAGGGAAATGTGTTATAGTGAAATATTTAAAATATTTTATATGAACATGATGTACATAGACTGAAATAATCTATCTTGGAAACCTTTGGACAGCTCAAAAGCAGTATGAGATCCTGGATATATGGCAGGACACGTATTAAAGTAAAAGCAGCAAAATTCTCCAAACTTATTGATCTGTCTCAGACACTTTGTTACACAGCTTATAAATATATTTTGAAATGTATCACAGTGTCATAAAATAATATGGAGGTTATTATTTACTCTTTCCTTGGTGACATAAATCTGTGAGTAAATCCAATTAATCAAAACTAAAATATTGAATATCTAGTATTAAGATTAGAAAGAAATTTTAGGAAACTTAGGTCAGAGGAAGCAGAAAAATATTAAAGTCTGCAACATGGTATCATATAAATAAGAAATCCAAAAGTACAAATCTAGAATAGTGAACAAGGCTGGAAATGTATATATGTGCATACTTATATGTTGGTTCACTCTCCTTGCTATACTCAAACCCAGGATTTAAACAAAACAAAACATTAATTTCATAGAATTACAGTTAATTTCCAAGTTTGATTCATTTATATTTAATACATAAATTGTTCAATTTTTGTGAGGTTTCAGTTTTGAGAATTTTCTATTTCTTTTAGTCTGAAAGGTTTTATTCCATTGTGTCTTTGATTTTTTTTTTCCTACTGGAACACTAATCATTTTTTGTTTTAAGGGTGTTTACGTCGTTACTTTTATACTTTTAATCTCTGCATATTCTAAAATATTCTTGTTTTTTTCTTAACAATATGAACCTATTTTAATGCATTTTACTTCAGTTTTTACTCATACCAATGATGATTTAAAACCATAAAAATTTTACATATCTTTTTCTTTATCTTGGTCAAGTCTAAATGAATAAAAGCCTACCTTATAGGCTAGACGTCAAAATTTTATTAAAATGATATCATGCTTACAAATGTGTGTCAAGGGTACTGAAATTTTTCTATTTTAATTTGACAGATGTACACACATATATATGCTTTATGCATTGTAAATATATATAAATACGCTTTATTTGGATTTAATTTACATATAATAAAATTCACTCAGGGTGTAATGATTCTTAGTATTTCACAGAGTTAATCAATAATCATATTCAATTTTAGAATGTTTCACCACACCGAAACATAACCTTCTACCCCTTAAGCATCATACCCTCTTCCCTATCTCCTGCTTTAAGTAATCACTAATCCTCTATTGACTATTTTAGATACTTCATGTAAGTGAGTTCATTAAAAATGTGTTTTTTATAGTTGAATATGTTAATTGAGCATAATGTTACTTTTATATAGATTTATTCTCTCTTCCCACTTTTGTACCATTGCTGTTATACACGTTACATGTAAATGTCTTACAACTCCAACGATACTTTGTTATAATTGTTACTTCATTTAATTTCAGGCCTGTTAAAGAAGCTGAGGGAAAAAAATGAAAGCAAGTATATATTTATAGAGTTTTTATATTAATTTTCTTATTTACCATTTCTACTTCTCTTCACTTGTTCTTATGAATTTGAGTAACCATCTGATGTTATTTCCCTATGGAACTACAACTTAATTTCCACCTACCTCCTTTGTGTTGTAATTGTCAAATATTACATTTTTATTGATAGAGACCTAATAGTAAGAATACTGGCTTTAATTCTTTTTAAATTAGTTAATAGAAGAAAAAAAATTTGCATTTATGCTATGTCATATCGTTAAATTACATTTACCGTTACTCTGTTTCTTTGTGTGTCGATTTAAATTGTCATCTTGGGTCATTTGCTTTATACCTTTAGAACTTCTTTTATTAATTCTTATAAGGCTCTGCAGCTAGCAGTGAATTCTCTCAGTTTTTATTTGGAATTAACTTTTTTCCTCTTTCAATTGTAAATATAAGTTTGTTTATGTAACATTTTTGGTGGTGGTTCTTTATTTTCCTTCAGCACTTTGGATATGTCACGTCATTGCTTTCTGGGCTCTATTAACTTCAGTAAACTGTTAATCTTATTGAGGTTCACTTTGTTTGATAAGTTATTTTTTTCTCTTTTTGCTTACAAAATTTTCTCTTTCTCTTTCAACATTTTTACTATGCTATGTGGTTGTGGACCTCATTTTATTTATTCTATTTAGAGTTCATTTGGTTTTTCATATATGTGTGTGTGTGTATGAATATATGTGTATATATGTATGTGTGTATATATCAATATATTATTACTTTTAATGATAAAAACTGCAATTACTTTTGCACCAACCTACTATATATAAATATATGCATATACTGTATAATGTGTATGCATATATATGAATATATATATGAATATATGTGTGTAAACATATGCACATATGCACACACATATAGTCATAAATATACACACGCATATTCATATATATTCATATGCACATACACACACTTTTTCACCAATTTGTAATCTGTAAAACCATTATTTCTTTAAATATTTTTTCTCCTTTTCTCCTCTTTATGACTATTTGCATTACAAGTACATTGCACATTTAGTAATATCCCACATTTCTTTGAGTCACTTTTTATTATTTTTTTCTGTTATTCGGAGTGCAAAATTTCAATTGATTTTTTCTTAAAGTTTTCTGTTTCTTTTGCCAGTTCAAATCTACTGTTGACTCACCATAATTTTTTTTTTATTTTATCTACTGTATCTCCAAACTCTAGCATTTCCATTTGTTTCTTTTTGTTGGAATCAACACCAAAAATAACCACTTTTCTTTTTCAGTCATTTCAATAATGTCTTCTCGCAGGCATTATACCACAAGACTTTCTTTAAATATAATCCATTAATTGTAATATTAAAAGGACGTTGTCATATAACAAAGTTTTTTACTGGCATTTGTCTCCAGTGTTGGATAGGGAATTACCCAGGTGAAAAAAGTGTCTTCGTTATTCATGAACAAATTGGATCATGACTCAGTATACACTAATGAAGTGACTTATGCTGAGTCCCTAGATAGCTATAGAATGTGGTTTTATCAACAGATAAACAATGATTGGAGGGCTGGGACTTTTAGCCAGCTCAGGCTCTGTGGAAGGAAAGGGCTGGAGATTGAGTTCAATCATGTGACTAATGATTCAGTCAACCATGCCTAGGTAATAAGACCTCAGTGACAACTTTGGACACTGATTCTCAATGAGGCTTCCTCATTCTTCTGCATTGGTGAGCACAGTGATGTACCAAGAGGGTGATACATTCTGATTCCAGAGAGAGAACACACAGAAGTTCTATATCTGAGACCCTCAAAGTTCTTGTCTAATGCGACTGTTCATTTGGCTGTTCCTGAGTTGTATCCTTTATAATAAAACTGTAATCATATGTATGGTGTTTTTCTGAGTTTTATTAGTCATTTAATGAATTATTAAACCTGAGAGAGGTCTGGAAACCTAAATTGATAGCCAGTCAGTGAGAAAAGCAGGTGGCATGGGGATCCTACTTAAAGATGTTGTTCAAAGTGAAGTTAATCTTGTAGTGAAATGGATTCTTCACTTGTGAGCTCTGCAATAACTCTGGATGGCTAACGCCCAAACTGAATCATGGTAAACCAGTTGGGGTTGATGTCAGAATAGAAGCATTCACAGGTTTCCCCCCTTCTATTGCCTCCTAGTGACACAGCCAGTGGGGAGGGGGTACCTGGAGAAACTCCAAAAAGCCTGCCCACCTGGGTGGAGCCTCAAGAAGTTCAGGATGTTTGTAGTAGGGAGGAGCCTGGCCCCTCCTTTTCCTGTGTGGAACCTGGGATTCCGTTTTTTTTTTTTTTTTTTTTTTTTTTGAGAACTGTTAGAGTATTTTTATTTTTATTTTTATTTATTTTTTTATTATACTTTAAGTTTTAGGGTACATGTGCACATTGTGCAGGTTAGTTACATATGTATGCATGTGCCATGCTGGTGCACTGCACCCACTAACTCGTCATCTAGCATTAGGTATATCTCCCAATGCTATCCCTCCCCCCTCCCCCCACCCCACAACAGTCCCCAGAGTGTGATATTCCCCTTCCTGTGTCCATGTGATCTCATTGTTCAATTCCCACCTATGAGTGAGCATATGTGGTGTTTGGTTTTTTGTTCTTGCAATAGTTTACTGAGAATGATGATTTCCAATTTCATCCATGTCCCTACAAAGGACATGAACTCATCATTTTTTATGGCTGCATAGTATTCCATGGTGTATATGTGCCACATTTTCTTAATCCAGTCTATCATTGTTGGACATTTGGGTTGGTTCCAAGTCTTTGCTATTGTGAATAATGCCGCAATAAACATACGTATGCATGTGTCTTTATAGCAGCATGATTTATAGTCCTTTGGGTATATACCCAGTAATGGGATGGCTGGGTCAAATGGTATTTCCAGTTCTAGATCCCTGAGGAATTGCCACACTGACTTCCACAATGGTTGAACTAGTTTATAGTCCCACCAACAGTGTAAAAGTGTTCCTATTTCTCCACATCCTCTCCAGCACCTGTTGTTTCCTGACTTTTGAATGATTGCCATTCTAACTGGTGTGAGATGGTATCTCACTGTGGTTTTGATTTACATTTCTCTGATGTCCAGTGATGATGAGCATTTTTTCATGTGTTTTTTGGCTGCATAAATGTCTTCTTTTGAGAAGTGTCTGTTCATGTCCTTTGCCCACTTTTTGATGGGGTTGTTTGTTTTTTTCTTGTAAATGTGTTTGAGTTCGTCATAGATTCTGGATATTAGCCCTTTGTCAGATGAGTAGGTTGCAAAAATTTTCTCCCATTTTGTAGGTTGCCTGTTCACTCTGATGGTAGTTTCTTTTGCTGTGCAGAAGCTCTTTAGTTTAATTAGATCCCATCTGTCAATTTTGGCTTTTGTTGCCATTGCTTTTGGTGTTTTAGACATGAAGTCCTTGCCCATGCCTATGTCCTGAATGGTAATGCCTAGGTTTTCTTCTAGGGTTTTTATGGTTTTAGGTCTAACATTTAAGTCTTTAATCCATCTTGAATTGATTTTTGTATAAGGTGTAAGGAAGGGATCCAGTTTCAGCTTTCTACATATGGCTAGCCAGTTTTCCCAACACCATTTATTAAATAGGGAATCCTTTCCCCATTGCTTGTTTTTCTCAGGTTTGTCAAAGATCAGATAGTTGTAGATATGCGGCGTTATTTCTGAGGGCTCTGTTCTGTTCCATTGATCTATATCTCTGTTTTGGTACCAGTACCATGCTGTTTTGGTTACTGTAGCCTTGTAGTATAGTTTGAAGTCAGGTAGTGTGATGCCTCCAGCTTTGTTCTTTTGGCTTAGGATTGACTTGGCGATGCGGGCTCTTTTTTGGTTCCATATGAACTTTAAAGTAGTTTTTTCCAATTCTGTGAAGAAAGTCATTGGTAGCTTGATGGGGATGGCATTGATGGCCAGAAGGGAAGCACTCTAGCAGGGACTCTGGCGTGGTGATAGTCCCTGTTTCCCCCTTATTTTTCCCCTTTGTACTCAATAAGAGAGAGTTCGAGACCAGCCTGGCCAGCATGGTGAAACCCCATCTCTACTAAAAATGCAAAAATCAGACAGACCTGGTGGCAGGTTCCTGTAATTCCAGCTACTCGGGAGGCTGAGGCAGGAGAATCCCTTGAGCCCAGGAGGTGGAGGTTACAGCAAGCCAAGAACATGCCACTGTGCTCCAGCCTGGGCGACAGAGCAAGACTCTGTCTTAGGAAAAAAAACAAAAACAAATACAAAAAATCCTTGTCTTACTCACCATTCAAATTTGTCTGAGAGCCTGAATTTTCAAGGCCATGGGACGAAGAACCCCATCTTTAGCTGAACTAAAGAAAAGTCTGGCAACACTAGTCAGAGTTTGTTGTTTGCATTACTGATAAGGTATTTATTTACTGAGAAGGCAAAAAATCAAAGAGTAGAAAGTGGTCACTCTATGTTAAAAAGGCTATTTAAAAATGAATGAAAAAGTATTTTGAGGGAAATGGGTGATAAGACAATAGCCAGCAGGACTTGGGAAAGTTGAGACATTTGTATAATGAATGAGATGATAAAAGAATATTATAAAATTGGCAAGGATGTGAGACTCTAGAAACAAGGTATTTAGAATTGTTGCCACTTTTTGGGTAATAGAATTTCCCCTTTAAAATATACCTCTCAAAAACACATCAAAATATTTAGAATTCTATTTTTAATTCTTTGGAGAAACTTACTAAAAGAGGCTATATTAAAACCCAAACCTCATTTCAGGAAGTGAATCAGGATCTACAAATCAACTAACAATTTCTTTGTGAATTCACTGTTCATATTCTTCACTCCTTCACCCCTCATGTATTTTGGACAGTCTAATTTAGAAGATGACTGAAAGTTTTCTCTCAATTCTCTGGATATTCTTGTATGAATATCATGAAAACAGGCTATATTAATCCCTTTCTACTTAAATTTAGCATCTCTCTAATAAAAATAAAATAATAATTAGTCTATGCTAATTTTTATTACAGTTGATAATGCATATGAAAAACTTTTTGTATTTTATAAATTATCATATAAAAATGTTTTTGTTTTTTATGTTTAATGGGAAGTTGCCACAGTCTTTGAGCCAAAAAGATAGTCAATATATTTAACATTAACATTAAAAACTGTCTGCATTTTACTATTTATTCACATTGAGTTATTTTATAATTTGCATTTGGAAACTGATCTTACATCATGATGTGGTAATAATAAAATGGGTATTGAACTATGGATTCAGGAGAAATAAGTTCTAGTGTTGGCGCTTTTACTGCGTGACTTTGGGAAAGTTACTTTCTTGTCTGAGCTCCATTTTTCTCATGTCTTTAAACAGACAAGAACTTGATAGACAAGATATTTATATATATAACAAGCACATTGAACATGACTCAGAATATGATTAGAACAAAAATTTATTTTTGGTCTCTCACTATTCTTCAAAAATATATTCAACAGAGGAAAGGTGTTTCTTTATCACAGTAGGATTCTGACACCCCTCGAAAGATTGTTCCAAGGGAGAACACATTCTTGCAACACAGCCTCCAGTACCTTATATAGCATCATCTTTGTAAGAGGATGCCCATCATACTTCATTTAGACTTCAATGTCTCAGCACTGGACAGCCTTCATAGGCAAGCACTTTCCATAATGTTCATATGCTTTGACCTCATACCATGTGCCACTCCCTCCTGCATCTACACCTTCATCACTTTGCTAAAACTTGGATTACTATCACTGGCCCAGTCTCTCATATTGAGGTCCTCTCTAAGTGACTCATGCTCCAACACCACATGGCAGGCTGCCACACTATCGGGATGCCCTCCTCTTCTCTTCAGTATGCAACATCCACATCTGGGTGCCCTCCTGGACACAGGCCTTCCTCATCCCACACAGGTGCTGAAGCCCCATCCCAACTACCACCCATTCTTTCCTCACTTAGGCACAGATGCTCACTATTGTTATACTTACCTAAACGTTGTTGAATATAATTTTTCAGGACTGGAGGAAAATAGAAAAAAAAAAAGAAAGACGAGTAGAATGAGAAAGAATAACAGGATAATCTGGCAAATACATTTTAATTATTTCAATCAAATAAAATTTAAGTCTTGTTTATTTACCCAAACATTTACCAGTTCTTACTGTTGTTCATTTCTGTATATGCAAGCTTATATCTGTAAGCATTTTTCTTCAGGTTGATTATTGTTTTACCATTATTCTCTGGACCTTTAAAGTTGGCATTGCATCATTATCTGTCTCCATTGTTTCTAATACAAAGTCAGTCACAATTCATATTACTGTGATTCTATGGGCAATGCACATTTTTTCTCTTTCTTCTTTCAGTGAGTTCTGTTTATCTTTGATTGTAGATATTTTGATTATGTTGTAGCAGGATTTTTTAATGTACCTGGAGTTTTGTTGAGCTTATTGGACTTGTAATGGCATATAGGCAGAACGTAAAATTTGATTTTTTTCCACCAAAATTGGAAAAATAATTAACATTATTTATTTATCTGCACCATTGCCTTTCTCTTTATTTTATATTGAATCCAATGGTATGTAAGTCAGACTGCTTGATATTATGCAAAAGTAAGATATTTGTGTGTGTGAACTACTTGTTTTCTTTCATATTCTTTACATAGTTTCATTTCAATAGATCTGTCTCTCATTTCAAGCTTTTTCTGCTCTCTCTCATTTGTGGTAAGCCCATCTCTTTATTTTTTCATTGTGTTTATTGCATTTTTTCATTCTAGACTTTCCATTTTTACTTTACTTTTTTTTTTACTTCCTATTTTTATAGATAACTACCTTTTAGTCAACAATTATGGCCTCATTTCCTATTAGGACACTAAATATTTATGAAGATCACCTCAGATTTATATTCTCTCAGTGGCTATTTCTTTCAAATAAGGAACTTTTCCCCATTCCTTTGTATATAAGAAAATGATTGATTTTCTGGCTTCCTTTATCTTCTTCTTAACTGTGTTGATCTTTGTTCCAGTAGCCGAATAATTTTTGAACTCCGAAACCAAAAGATGCATTTTGCAACAGCTATAGCTGTTCAGCTCCTGCAGTCTTTTGCTGTGGCATTTTACTGAGAACCTTAGAATTTTTCATAGGCATGGACAGTTTAGGTGTAATCTAAGGATTTGTGCAGAGCTTACATGTATACTTTGGGGATCCTTCAGCTAGAGCTCCTTTCTCTATGGGATTTCTTATCTCAAAACCCAGCCTTTCTGGCTACTTTCTAACTCCATCTTCTGATACTTCAAGCCATTGTCTGAGGCTTTCTACTTTAGTTATGGGCACTAAGCAACTTGGAATGTAGAGTTCCCATAGAGGACAAGTCGTATTAACAGTAACTCTCACTCACTGTAGCCCCTTGTGTCAAGGGGCACATAACCTCAAGTTTCTGTCTTTTCGTTGTCATTTTCTAGTAATAATGCCGGATAACTATTGTATTTTATATATATTCAGTTCTATAAATATTTTAGCTTCTTTCACCTCTGTTGTTACATGGAGATATGTACAGAACCAATAAAGAAAATAGTTGAAAGATTTTGAAAATCTTTTTTGTATTCTTTTTCATTATGGTGTAAAACAGAGGAGGATAGCAAAAATGACTTTTCTTTAAATCCTAAAATTAAACCAGGGAAGAGGATACACAAAAGCAATAATATAGAATGATCCCCTTCCCCCAAAAAAAACCCTACGCTAGGAATTGAAGAGAAATCATAAACCTATGAGCCTACTGAAGTCTGTGACAACTCCAACGGGAACTTCTTTAAAATATATTTTCATCTTCACCTTCAAATATAATTCTTCTTCCTACCTGGAATCATGAATGATTTGTTTACTTTTCTTTCTTGGGAAGGTTGAAAATTTCAAAAAATGATTCCAATCAATAATGGAAGTTTAAGTTTTTCAACTTTTATTTTAGGTTCTGAGGTACATGTGAAGGTTTGTTACGTAGATAAACACGTGTCATGGGGGTTTGTTGTACATATTATTTCATCACCCAGGTATTAGGCTCAGTAACCAATGGTTATCTTTTTTCTCCTTCCCCTCACTACCATCCTCGACCTCAAGCCGACCCCAGTGTCTATTATTTTCCTCTTTGTGTTCATAAGTTCTTATCGTTTAACTCCTACTTATACATGAGAACATGTGGAAGTACAGGTATGGAAACCACTAATATATTAAAAACACTCAGGGCTTGGGCAAAAAACACCTGTGTTTGAATCTCAGCACCAATAATTTTTTTTTTTTTTTTTTTTTTTTTTGAGACAGAGTCTCGCTCTGTCGCCCAGGCTAGAGTGCAGTGGCGCCATCTCAGCTCACTGCAAGCTCCGCCTCCCGGGTTCACCTCATTCTCCTGCCACATCCTCCTGAATACCTGGGACTACAGGTGCCCGCCACCACGCCCGGCTAATTTTTTGTATTTTTAGTAGAGACGGGGTTTCACCGTGTTAGCCAGGATGGTCTTGATCTCCTGACCTCGCGATCTGCCTGCCTCGGCCTCCCAAAGTGCTGGGATTACAGGCGTGAGCCACCGTGCCCGACCAGCACTAATATATATTTTTTTGTTGCTCTCGGAAAGTCACTTAGCCAGTCTGGGTCTGTTTTCTGTCTTTCTGGGTTTATATAATGAGGATTGTTATTATTTACCTTGCAGGGCCACTTTGAGCATTAAGTGTGATACATAACATGTAATAAATAGGACCTGTCCAATAAATGTTAGTTACTATCTCTCAAAAATAAAAGAACATGTGGTATTTGGTTTTCCGTTCTTGCATTAGTTTGCTAGGTATAATGGCCTCCAAATCCATCTATGTTCCTGCAAAAGACATGATCTTATTCTTTTTTATGGTTGCATAGTATTCCATGGTGTATATGTACCACATTTTATTTATCCAGTCTATCACTGATTGTCATTTAGGTTGATTCCATGTCTTTTCTATTGTGAATAGTGCTGCAATAAACATTTGCATGCCTGTGTCTTTATGGTATAATGATTTATATTCCTCTGGGTATAAACCCAGTAATGGGATTGCTGAGTCAAATGATAGTTCTGCTTTTTAAAAAAAATTAGTTTTTACTAAATGAGCAGTTTTTAAATTTTTTTTTATTTCAATCGATTTTTAGGGAGCAGGTGGTGTTTGGTTACATTAATAACTTCTTATTGGGGATTTGTGAGATTTTGGTGCACCCATCACCCAAGCAGTGTACACTGTACCCAATATGCCCAATGCATAGTCTTTTATCCCTCATCCCCACAAGTCCTTTCCTCTAAGTCCCCAAAGTCCAATGTATTCTTATGCCTTTGCTTCCTGATAGCTTAGCTCCCACTTGTGAGTGGGACTGAGTTACTTCACTTAGAATAATAGTCTCCAATTCCATCCAGGTTGCTGCAAATGCCATTAACTCTTTGAGGAATCACCATACTGCTTTCCACAATGGTTGAAATAATTTACACTCTCATCAACAGTGTACAACTGTTCTGTTTCCTCTGCAACCTCACTAGCATCTGTTATTTTTTGACTTTAATAATAGCCATTCTGACTGGTGTGAGATAGTGTCTCATTGTGGTTTTGATTTTCATTTCTCTAGTGATCAGTGATATTGAACTTTTATTTCATATGCTTGTTGACCACATTTATGTCTTCTTTTGAGAAGTATCTGTTCATGCCCTTTGTCCACTTTTTAATGGGGTTGTTTGGTTTTCTCTTATAAATTTGGTTAAGTTCCTGATAGATGCTGGATAACAGACCTTTGTCAGGTGCATAGTTTGCAATAATTTTTCCCCATTCTGTAGGTTGTCTGTGTACTATGTTGATAGTTTCTTGTGCTGTGCAAAAGCTTTTTAGTTTAATTATATTCCATTTGTCAATTTTTGCTTTGGTTGCGATTGCTTTTGGTGTCTATTTATGAAATATTTGCCTGTTTCCTATGTCCAGGATGTTATTACGTAGGTTGTCTTCTAGGGTTCTAACACCTTTTGGTTTAATATTTACGTCTTTAACAGCACCTTGAAAATTACTATATTCTCAGAACATACTTTTATGCTTATACAGCTGTGAGAAACATAGGTAGGATTGGTTGTTTTATAGTTACAGTTTTCACTATTTTAGAATTCCTAAATTGAATATATCACTAAATAAAATGTATACAAGATGGAAAGCTTATTTAAATTGCTTTATTGAGCTCTGCATGTAGTATTCATTCTCTCTAAATTTAAATAAAGCATCTATCTGTTCTTTTATTCAGATATCTCTGACTAAATCCTCACACAAAATACAGATAAACACAATAGATGCATGCAAGTTATAAAAGTTCAATTAAAAGTCCACCTTCTATTCAAAGGTGATATTGAAGTTGAAGCATATTACTCAAGAGGTTTTTTTTTCACAACCACAGGATGTGATTCTGTTTAAGTTTAGAGCAGATGTTTTCTGATTCTAAGCGTTACAGGGGACTAATCTGTATTTATGGGACTATAGTGTTTGTTATTGTCCACTACATATTGTTCTGAAAATCTTATTTTTTTAAGTAGCAATCCAGAAGGAATTCATTGTGGTTAAAGCATTTGATTTTGTGATTTTTAAGGATTTTCTGAATTTCAGGACTGTTAATTTTGTTCATATTTTTCCATTTAAAATATTCACATGCTCAAAAGTAACTTAAAATGAAAATGTATATTGTCCTTTTTTATCTTTTAGAAAGCATCTCCAGGAAGGTATGCTCTCTGGGAAATGATCTTACTGTTTTCAATCATCTTTATTTGAGAGAATTATTTTCAAATGATTAATTACTTTTAAAAATCAATAAAGTAACCATAATAATAACATATGCAATTTTTAAGCCCTTACTTTAATATTTAGTTAACGTATTTTCTCTCATTCTTACAAAGTAAATCTGCCATAAAGTGTATATGTCAATTTTACAGGAGATATAAATAAACTTACAGAGAGCATGTAACTGTCCCAAAGTCTCATAATTTAAAAGTTGTTTAAGTAGAATTTAAACTCGGACCCATTCAAATTCAAAGGCAAAGGTCCCTTCCATGAATTCATACTAGATCACATATGAAGCACAATTCCAACCTTTGGCAGATTAAGTATGAGCAGCACACCAAAGAAATTAAAAACTGGTTGCTCTTGTAACATTGTTCTCCTCTACAATGTTTTATAGGTTTCTCCTGTTATTATTTCTGTTGAATAGTGAAATGGAGAAAACAGAAAGAGGCAGAGCCTAGATTTCTGAGTACTTGCCTGAGTACTTTTCTTGATTATGGAGATAGGTATCTGACAGTATTTTTTATGAAAATACCAGTGATGTATTTTTTTTCGTCACTGATAGAACCTGACTCTCACTGACATCACCTGACAGAGAGTTGAAAATTATCTAGATGCATCCTTGAAAATGAGAAGATGATATGATGTCATGGCAATTTTGGCACTGTCCCTAACCTGAGTGGCATGCCCTGCAAATTGCATCCTGTAAGAGAACAGGATGTTTGTTTTTGTTGTTGTTTGTGTGTGGATACTAAAATGCAACTATGTGGTACCTGTGATTTATTTTTACTATTGGAGATTTGTGTAAGGAAACAACATTTTAAAAGATGATCATGGAATAGGAGAAGTAGAATACATGCAAAGTTACATGTTACTATAAGTAAATAAAACAAATTTCATAGTATCTATCTATCTATCTATCTATCTATCTATGAATGGGTTTTGTATTTGTATTGTAGAGTTAACCCCAAAATGGAGCCACCTGTCGACATTATTGAATGGTCTTAAACAGCATTATACTGTTCTTAATTTTTTCTTCCTTTTATGACAAAAAATAGCATCATTATTTCTTTTTAATTTTTATGGGTACATAATAGTTGTAAGGCATCATTATTTCTGATCTATGCCTTAATCTTCAGGATTAATTCTTTAAAAAATGGCTTTAAAAATCAAATTACATAACAAATGATAATAATGTTTTGAAGAACATATAATAGTTCCTCCATAGTCATTTCTATACCTTCACATATAATGATAAGATGTCACTATGGACAGACTAGAAGTTCTGTGTTAAACTTGACCATTAATTTTTGGTTCTAGCATTAACTTGAACAATCTATGATAAATTTTTTATAAAGGCAGCTGACGCTCTGAAATAATTTTTCTATTTTTCTAAGTCACAGAGTGCCTTCTCTGCCAGGAAATATGTATCTACATAGCTCAATTAAAAATTTAACACCCCCTTATTCCTCAGAGTGATGCTTTTGTTAAATTCTCTTTAACTGTTATCCTTAAACTTAATGGTTCTTTTTTTCACTCTTATCAGTTACACAATGTCACTATTCTTTCACAGCTAACTGATTCCTCACCCAGTCTTGCTTTTTCCCTGAGGCACTGATATGGGAAGATCATAAATTCTCTCAATGTAAGGAATTAATTGGCTAAACAATACATCCAGCCTAGAAAACTCACCTGCCCAGCTCTGCTCCTGTTTGCATATGAGAGTTAAGACCACTGTAGAGAGGAAGTAGAGAACGGCGTTTCTGTTCTTAGTGAAGTCTAGCCTTGTTAGTTTTGAGACTTCAAATAAGTTAATGATCTGGACAATATCTGTTTCCTCATGTGTGTAGACTGAATATAGCATTTATCTATGTATTCGGAGTCATTAAATATGATTATATGTGTAAAGTGTTTAGCACATATTTGTCACATTCATTGTTTAATAAATATTAGATGACATCATTGTTGCTGTTATCTTATATCAAGTTCCAAAGGGAACTTGTATCCTAAGAACCCTCTGGGATACATCCCAAATTTACTGAAAGTCTTCTGTAACTTAAGATACTGAACTAAATAATATGATGCAATTGTTTTCTATAATTTAACGTTAAATATTTTCTGAAGTTCTGGTTCTTTTTCTAGAGTCTGTATGTTTACTATTGGCTTAAATGTGTTTTTTCATAATTGCAGAATTTAAAAATATATCATATATTTAAAGGAATAAGTTTATTATGATATAGCCAACTACAAACACACCTACATACAAAATCACAGATACGTTTTGTTTTTTGAGATGTGCTAGCACTGGTTCTGCCTTCAAACAGGGAAGAAAATAAGATAGTATCAGAGGTTCTGCCAGCACTGAACACATAAACACGTGCAACTTCTATAAACTAATAAGCAGTACATCTTGTTTAAATGCATTGCAAGAGCAAACAGGCATTTTGTTTACTTACTGAGATTTGAATGATGAATGTTTTGAATGCTTCGGGACACACTCTAATTACATCTCTATTCCTTCCTGAAGAGCAAGATAGAATATATGGGGATGTTGAATTATAACATTTAAATTAATAGCAAAATTATTAATATATTGTAAAAAAATATTTATCATAGTAAATATACAAACATAGCAAAAGGGCAATTTCTCCCTATTCTGAGCTGACCAATGATCACTGGAAATGGAAATGGCCTCAGGCTTGTCACCCCTTCTTTCTCCATGTAGGGGGTCATTTTATCTTCTCTTGATGCATATAGGTTACATGAAGGAAAGTGTGAACACCTGGACAAAACAGACTTCCCGGTAGAAAGGAGAAAGAATGGATACTGATAGGCACACAGTAAGATACTTACATACACAATATGCTCATATGTTTACAAAAAATATATATTAGATCTCTTGTTTTGTTGGGTTTTGTTTTTCTTTGATAATATAGCATTAAAAATGCCCAATATCATTTTTTAATATGTTCACTTTAGAGCTACAAATGCTTTAGATGAGATCCAGTATTAAAATTTCCTGCCAGTTTAATTGTTGTTTTTAAATTTCTAACTATTTATTTATCTAGGTACCTCTTAGTTACCAAAAAGTGAGTGTGCAAAAGATGTCATTCAATTTAAGCACTAAGGCTCTCTACTTGATTTAGCATGATTTCCTCCTCTCTTGTAATGATTCCAATCAATCAATAAGTATGTAGATATGGGCACCCAAAAAGTATATTCAAAGGCATGCTGTCTATGTATGAGTGTTTTGCCGGATCCACAGTAGGGCAATCAAATTTGCTCTTTCAGAAATTTGTGACTTAAACTATAATAAAATGCTTTGCATTGAGGTAGATTAATGGTAATGTCCTAGAGAAACATAGGTAAGCTTTTTTCCTCCTAAGGACTCTGGAAGTTCTAAGACTGGTGGCATTCTCAAGTCTGTGGTTTAATTATATCTTCTTTTCTATGAAGTAATACTGTATCCTTCAAAAATTTTTCCTCTGTTCTACAGATCCAATGTCAGTATTTCTCACTTGAAAGGAAAAGCAATTTAGCTCCAACAATAAGAAAATGTGAAATTTTATTGTGGTTGAAATGGCAGGAAAATAAAGCCATCAATATCACCCTTCCTCTCTTAATCATTTCAGACATGAATTTGGGCACCAGTGCATGTAGCCACCAAATAATCTCTTCTGAATGAGTGGAAACGGTCAGTTATATAAAAGCTTTAAAAGTGCAGGTCTGTAAAAAGTATAAACCCATAATGACACCAACTATTCTTCCCTGATTCTCCAATGCTGGAAAAACAGATGAGGAGACAGACTCCATCTGTGAAGGAATGTTGTAAAGGAAAAACATATTGTTAATTTCACTTGAACTGCATTGTTTTTAGCTGAACCTCTGCGACTTTTTTTTTTTTTTTAAACATTTTGGAAACGTGTTTCCTGCTAGTATTTTCTCCTACTGCTTGAATTTAATATGGACATCAAGTTGTGTAGCCTAAAGCAAATATTTGTGTACTGAAGGTTATTGTGTAACTTGTAAGATAATTAATATTCCTGTTTTACACTTGACACTTAACATGTAGTGACATTTACATCTGTATATTCCAGTGAGCACATACTCTACAAATCCAAATCAAGATGAAATTCCTCATTGCAGTATTGACTGTTTCAATAAAAGATATCAGAGGAAGCATATTACTCTTTATATAGATATTTTCATTTTTAAATTGTATAGTTTTTGCAGGCTGTATTATGTTGTAAATTAATTACAAAGATGAAGGAAATTACTAAACCAATCATGTATGGGATAGACTTTTCCTACAAATATGGCTTTATTCTAAGAGATTGTGTTATAATTACCGAGCAAAGTACTCTTTGTTGTGGCTTCAACCAATTTTCTCTTGTTTGATTTCCAGTTTGGTGACGTCTTTATGTGTAATAAACTATAAAATTTACACTAATATAAACAGATTATTTCTATCTGTTCTTTTTAAACACTTCTGTCACTTTGCCATAGACGAAGAATACATAGTTACTTAAACAAATAGTGAATTTAATTGATCACATTGTGTGTGTGTATGTGTGTGTGCATGTGTGTCTATGTATTGCCCATTTGTGCATATACAATTCTGGACTAGGGCTATAAGATATAATATAGGGCTTCATGAGTTTGTTTGGAAAGTAAAATATATACATATGTATATATAAAAGACAGTAGCTATATATATGCAATGCATATGTATACACACATATCTGTATATCTATATTAACAGACATATAGACATGTGGACACATATATAGATAAATAGATAAAGGTATACTACAGAAGATAATACTTGGTAACAGAATATGAACTGCATAATGCTTGAGGCATTGCGAAGGTGCGTCACAATGAAGAGTTTTCCTGCAGGTAACTGTGGTACTAGGCTCAGAAATATTTTCACGCAGAAGAGAAATAGAGGGAGAAAAATGTTGAGAAAGTGTGAGATAAAATAACATGGCAATGAGCATTATATTCTGTATTGTAGCACTATGTTAAATGTATTACATAGTTTTTATTTCATTCTTGTTCGTCTTATTTAAGACAGAAAACAGACAAGAAGATAGATATAGCTTTGTTTAACAAGTCAGGCTGAATTCTACCCATTTGCAGAATGTGATTTATTCAAGATGATATATCTCTGTTGACTTTTAGCATAACATACAGGATTTCAGTTTTAAAAATAGTAATAACTTTAAAAATATGAGCATTCTACAATTCTCTTTTAGATTTAGTGTTCTCTGCAACTATTTGGAAATTCATTTAAAATATCTATTAAAATATTTATTTCAGCAAGTCATTACTTCAACAAACATCATTTTGCATCAAATAATTAGTACATCTTTGTTTAAATAAGGTTCTCCATTTACTTGCGTAAAAATGAGAGATTAAGAAGACCTGCTGTAAATTACACAATGTGACACTAGGAAACCCAATGGGAATACCTTTTAACATAGGCTTTCCAAAAAAAAAAAAAACATATGATTTGTTGAAAGTAAAAGCTTTAAGCTCTAATAAATTTTAACTGATGTCTGTGGTGTTACATTGTTGGGTATTTATTTTAAAGTATTGACTTATTTGTGTACTCATTTTAAGATTCTTGTCTAAGAATTAACATTGTTGCCTTATAAAGCATGTTAAACTTGACAAAGTAATTTCATCAACATGTTTTTTTTTTCTACCGTCTTCCCCCTGAAGTATCCCTGATAATGTAAGAAAACTAAGTGAAGAGGCTAACAAATTTAAGTGGAAAAGAGCAGCATAAAAAGAAGAAACGGCTGGGCGCGGTGGCTCACGCCTGTAATCCCAGCACTTTGGGAGGCCGTGATGGGCGGATCACGAGGTCAGGAGATCGAGACCATCCTGGCTAACATGGTGAAACCCCATCTCTACTAAAAATACAAAAAATTAGCCAGGCAAGGTGGCGGGCACCTGTAGTCCCAGCTACTTGGGAGGCTGAGGCAGGAGAATGGCGTGAACCCGGGAGGAGGAGCTTGCAGTGAGCTGAGATCGCACCACTGCACTCCAGCCTGGGCGACAGAGCGAGACTCCATCTCAAAAAAAAAAAAAAAAAGAAAAGAAAAAAAAGAAGAAGAAGAAACACAGCATCTCTGTTGGACAGTCCATAAAGCTTTAAGCAAGGAGAGTAATGATTGGGTAGAATTCCAAGACGTTTCCTGTAAGGGTAGAAGTTGTGCTTCATTTTGCTAAGTATCATAAGAACTTTGAGGAGTGATAAAGAGTCTTTGAACAGAGTTTCTTTAATTCACATCCAGCCCAGGTTTAATCCACTTCTAACCTAGAAATGTCTGTTAGAATTTATTTTTGTTATTTTATAACTAAGGGAGCAAGCGCCTCTTATCTTACTTCAGTAAAACATCATTGCCTGCAGATGAGGTCTATGTATGCCTTGCATAGTAGTTGATGCTCACTTTCACAATAACAAATAATCTGTGTTTGAGCTATATATTTAGATTCTAATTTACTTTTGAACAGTTTTCACTAAGTTATCCACTGGAACAAGAAGTCCTGTTTAAACACTGTGAGCTTTTCAGGATAGGGCTAAGTTATTTTCATATTATCCATCAATAGATAATAAATGTTATTTTCATCTCAAAATTATAAGTTGATAATCCATTGAATTTTCCATTTTAAATATTGTCTTACATCATTCCTAAGACAATCTCAAGGATATTGCTTCCTTGACATTCCAGAATACAGATTTTGAAAAACTATTCAAGTGTTTAAACAGAAAAGAAGACAGTTTATGGTAGTGGAAAACGTCAACACCTCTAACAGGATTTCTACCCATATATTTTACCTTAAAGAAAATAGGTGTCAACTTGAAAACAATAAAAATGTTAAGGATTGGCCGGGCGCGATGGCTCACACCTGTAATCCCAGCACTTTAGGAGGCCGAGGCGGGCAGATCTCGAGGTCAAGAGATCGAGACCATCTTGGCCAACATGGTGAAACCCCGTCTCTACTAAAAATACAAGAAATTAACCGGGCATGGTGGCAGGCGCCTGTTATCCCAGCTACTTGGGAGGCTGAGGCAGGAGAATCGCTTTAACCTGGGAGGCAGAGATTGCAGTGAGCCGAGATCGCGCCGTTGCACTCCAGCCTGGGCAAAAAGAGCGAAACTATGTCTCAATAAAAAAATAAATAAATAATAATAAAAATGTTAAGGATTTGCTGATATTTTAATTTTTAAAAAATGTCATGAAGATCAACAATTTGATTTTCTCTTCTTTGTACTTTTACTAGGCTGGAAACATTTAAATTGTTTACCAACTTTTCCCAAGTAGTATCATATCTATGATTAATTTAAAAACTCATTTGCTTATGTATTCAGTTATAAGCTTCCTATAAAAGACTGTTACAGCTTTTCTGTTAAACTCATACAGTTAAACTATCTGACCGAAAGTGTATTTTTTCTGTTTTTGTAATATTTACTAATTGTTAGACAATTCTTGATAAGGGTAATTACTCCTCTTCAATACACCACTCATGGTTTAAAGTTACTTAAATAAACCTTACTATGCTACAGATATCTTAATAAATCATAAGGACAAGCTTGGTCACAGTGACTTGTTTCTTGATTACCTCAAGGCATACTGGGTGAATTCTGACCATTCTAGCAACTTTCTATATGAACACATTTGATTTCTACAATTAAATGCCTATTTATACTCCAGATCTTGTGATTTGTCACAGCTGACTTCCTGGCTGATTTCTTCATTTTCTGGACATGAATATGTTACATTCAGATACTGCAGTTTTTTCTCCATCTTCCTTATAGCTGTTCCTTTGGGACAGGCATGGAAAACAAAACATCTCACCTTACAGTCTCACATTTTTATGGGCATTATAATGTTATCTTAACACACACTACTTTTACTGAAAATGATGAGTTTCATCTTCGTGCCTCATTATTTTTTGTCTTTGACTTGTTAGGAATTGTGAGGTCTAAAGCAAATCTTCTGACTAGGGCACTATTTTTCCTAAAATTGCATTAGTGAAACAGAAAATCAGGCTTTTCTTGCATACCACACCGCATCTTCTAATTTCATATGACTTAAAAAGCATGTAGAGAATTTTAACATGTGTAATATGTAATTTTAGGTACTGACAATCCAGAGATGAGCAAGATCATCTCAGTCCCAGGATGATAACCCTGGTCTGGCAGATGAGAAATTACTGGCTGAAGAGTCATCTCTCTTAATCATGCCAGCTTCTCCACAGTAACCATTATTATCTTAGAAAACTAGCCAATATTTATTTTAATTAGACAATAAATAATATGTATCTAACTTACCTAGTGAAAGCGTCTTGTCTTCCATGGACCTTAAAGATAATTAGCTGGCTGATTTTATCTGAGATTCAGTTTTGGGGTGGGTCCTGATGAGAGGAAGGTACTAAATATATGATTTTTCATTGACTGTTATAGGAATAATTAAATAAGAAACAATAAGAAGCTTGAAAAATGAATAATGAAATATTATTTTTACATTAAAAATGTAATTAACTTCTGATTTTATTTATAGCAATAGATAGTAAAAATGATAAAGGCAAAAAATGAACATTAAAAGTATATTATAATTATGTGCTTATGCTAAAAATGATTGTCTCTGATATTCAGAACATTCATACAATTCAAATTTTAAAACACATCCTCCCCTAGATAAGCAGGAAATATGTGCATCATTTACATTCTTCCTCCTTCTTCATGTTCCACATTTTACTGTTCCTCCAGCTTTTTTTTTTCTAGTGGGAGAAGATTAAGATTCTTTTCTTCAGATATTTTTCCCCAAGTCATTTAATTTGAGCTTCAAAAGTGAATTAAAACCCAAACCATTTCATCTCTCTGCTGCTCCATAAAAAAAAAAAAGTATGTATTTTTTTTTCTTGGCAGATTTCACTTAGTATAAGAGTGAACATGAAGAATCACATCAACAAAAGGGCTAACAAAGTACAAAATCTACATTTTTAAACCTGATAAATTATCTGCCCTCCAAAACTATTTTTTTCATTTACCATTAGAACACCTCAAATAAAATTTAGAGTTTCTGAAACCGAACTAATGTTTTACCCTTTTGTTGTGTACAAGAATAACAAGAGAAGTTTGGTTAATCATTTTAAGATTCTAAATGTAGGTAATGTGGGACCTTAGATGTGTTATCCTGGTTTTAACTTTTCAGCTATGGTTTCTCTATCTGGATAAAGAAAAAACAATACCTGATTTACAGTAAAAACCTAAAAACGCTTTTCTAAGGAATAAATGAAGTAATGCATGTGCTTGGTAATTAAAACATCTGATGTAAGTAAAAAATATTCTTATTTGCATATAGAAGCAACAGGAGAAATCAATTTAAAGGACAATAAATGTGCTAAAGATTCTGTAATTAATACTGTTAGTAACCATTTACAAAAATAAACTTTATATTTTAGAGCAATTTAGGTTCATAGAAAATTGAGTAGAAATTACAGAGAGTTTCTCTATAGCAACTGTCCCTACACACAGACTGCTTTCCCAACTATGCCTGCTCCACACCACAGTTGTATATTCATTACAATTAATGAGTCTTATTGAATATGGCATATACTCAACATTACAGTATCATATAGACAAGTTTCACTGCCATGAAAATCTTTTGTGCTCTGGCTATTCATCTCTTCCTCCACTAAACTCTAGCAACCACTGACTTTTTACTGTTTCCATCATATTGCTTTTTCCAGAATGTCATATAATCATACACTATATAGCCGGGGACATACTTGCATGCTTCCAGATAGGCTTTCATTAGGCTTCTTTAGATTAGGAATATGCATTTAAATTTCCTCCATGTCTTATCATGAGAGCTCATTTCTTTTTAGTAATGAATAATATTCCATTGTCTGCACATACCACTGTTTATCCATTCACATTAAAAAAGACGTGTTTGTTGCTTCCAAGTTTGGCAATTATGAATAAATCTGTTGTAAACATCCATATGCAAGTTTTTGTATGGACATAATTCTTCAGTGCATTTGGATAAATATCAAGGAGTGTGGTTTCTGGACCACATAGTAAGACTATAATTATTTTGTAAGAAACCAAGAGTTTTTTTAGGGTAGATGTACCATTTTGCATTTCTACCTACAATGTGTGAGAAATCCCATTGCTCTGCACACTTGTTGGCATTTGGTGTTGTCAGTGTTTTTTATCTTGGCCATTCTAATAGATGTGCGATGGTATCTCATTGTTGCCTTAATTTGCAATTCTTTAATGACATATGATGTTAAAAAAAAACAACTTTGCATGTACTTACTTGCCATATGCATATCTTCTTTGGTCAAGGATATGTTAAAGAAGTATTTGAGTCATGTTTTAATCTGGCCTTTCATTTTCCTACTGCTGAATTTAAAGAGTTCTTTATATATTGTTGGTAACAGTTCTTTATCAGATGTGTCCCTTGAAAATAGTGTCCCCCCAACCTGTGTCTTGTATTTTCATTACCTTGACATTGTCTTATACAGAGCAAAGTTTTTAAATTTTAATTAAGCCAAGCTTATCAATTTTTTCCTTAATGTATTGTGCCATTGGTGTTGTGTCTAAAAAGTCATCACTATACCTCAGTTACCAAGTTTGCCCTTCTGTTATCTTCTAGGACTTTTAGTGTTTTGCATTTTACATTTAACTCTATTATATATTTAGAAATAATTTGTATGAAGGGTTTAAGGTCTGTGTATAGGTTCTTTTTTTGCACATGTATGTCCAGTTGTTCTTCTACCATTTGTTGAAAAGAATATATTTTCTCCATTATATTGCCTTTGTCAAAGAGCAATTGAAGACAGTTACATGGATCTGTGTCTGGGCTCTCTATTCTCTTCCCTTGGTTGTCTCATTCCCACCTCTAAAGAAGTACATCTAACTGACATTAGGATAAGGATAAGGATAAAGATAAGGATAAGGATAAGGATAAGGATAAATATGACAATAAGGAGCAGGAGTGGGAGCAGCAGAAGAGAGAGAAGGAGGAGGAGGAGGAGGAGGAGAAGGATGAAGACGAATCTTAACTCCTTCCTGCTGACAGGGGGCGCTGTTTTAGGGAAAAGGCAGTTAGATCTCCCTCAGAGAACTATCTAAGGGTCCCCAGCAGAAAATGCCCTCTGTCCAAGACTTTGGTTGCATGACTGTTTGGAGTTTGATGGCCTGAAGGCAAGAAGAGATCAAACTAGTTATTAGAAAACATGTCTCAAAACAAGAAAAGGAAGGGTAAAGACAGCTCAAAAATCCTGAGGCCTTTTATCGGTTTGCACAGGGAGAGGGAGGCCAAAATCCTGACTTGTCAAAAACTTTAACCTTTTGCTGGCATGTTGGGCTTCTGAGTTCCCTTTCCCTGTGCCCAATCATAAGCCAACCAGTCTGAGTTTTGGGAAATTAACTCTTCCCTGTCTGGAGGATGCACCTGAGGGTAGTATGCTATAGTACAGAGACACAATTACCTACCAACAAAGAGAGGACAGAGGAGGAGAAATAAAAAAAGAAGACATTTTTTCAAAGCAGTCCTAGTAGTTCAGGATGCATTTGAAAGGGATACAGGGATGAATGGTTATTCATCTAGAAAAAGGGGAACAAGCATCCTTGGTTCCTTCACTTCCTAACAAATACCCAGGGTATGTGAGGGAGCGAAGGAAGAGCATCCTCTTTCCCTCTTCTGTCCTTGGATCCCTGAGCACCAGTGACCTTGGCAGGTGCCAGCCATTGGTGTCAAAGTGGCTTGCATCCATGAAACAGGGAGCACTTAGAGAATAAGAATGATCTACTCTCACCTATTCAAGTAGGGAATACCCCCTATGTTCAGTAGTTTTGAAGTTCCCTAGACCTCATTTATGCCATGGATACTAGTATGACCTTTAGCCATGAAACGGGAGGCTTGGTTTAATCAGCAGAAATTAGCCATGCTCACCTGTGCCATGCCTTTTAACCTCTGTTATCATCTTCCTCTGGATCTTCCTCAGATAAATCCTATTAAAGCTGAGCCCAGCCATGGGTTTGTATCCTCAGATATCTGTGAGTTGGGTGATCCTTTCCTCTTAAGGTCCCAAGACAAAGTTGGAGCTCCTGGGCCTGTTAGAAAGTGGCATTCTTTACTGACCACGGGTCAGAAATCCTGTGCAGGGACTGCATAGGCAAGGGTATTAGGCCAGATTTTTCCCAAGGTGCTTTTGTCAGCTCTGCAAGTCAAGCTCAATTCCTTAAAGGGAAGAACACCCTTCTAGTCTTTTTTATAAGCTTTGGTAAAACAACCAATTTCTCCAATTATGTCCTGTTGCAAAGCAAAATGGATTCTTATTGCACTGATGCAAACAACTATATTGCTGTAAGTTGAGAAAACTCATAGATAGTTTTCAAATTCTATGGGAACCAGGCAGAGAGAAACAAAAATGCTCCAGATTTTATTCAAAGGTGTATACTATACTCAATTATCAAAGACTGTAAATAGTTCAAAATAAATTTCCTTGATTCTGAAAAACAAAACAAGGATTAGCAATATTCCATCCAAAAGTCCAAAAGTTTACTTCAGTTTCCTGAGTTCATTCAATTACCTCTTGTTTTGCTTTATATTTCTGAACCTTTTAGCTCTTCATGAGTCCTGTACATTTTTCCTTTATTCCAATATTACAAACTCCAAAGTTATCAGAAACCTGTATTTGAGAGCACCTTCAATGCTCCATAGCTTATTATAAATTATCTTTTGAGAAGGATTAAAATAAGACAACAGTTCTCTGTGAATAACAAAATGTCCAGGACAGTTACAGTTAGAAACACAATTGACAAAGACATTTGGTTATCCCTGCGGTTTACAATAACTTAACAAAACCTTAATTATCATTGATAGTCTATGCTTAGACATTCGAATTTTAGAAATCCCATGCAATTTTGGAACAAATTAGTACTATTCAACAAAATATAAACTAAAAAAGATTGAATATCATTTTGGCAACCTCATGTAACTAAATATGTCAAATAATTCTGTTTACCTCTTTTCTGCATGTTCCAAGGGCTTTCTGAACCATCCAAAAAGCCAGGCATCAGGAAAGACAATTTTGAAACTGAAGTTTGATTTGGGGAAGCCTGATAAATATGTTAAATATTTAAAATACTTGATGTTATGAAATAGAATTCCAGATTGCCATAATTTATTTATTTTGTCAAAGTGATGACTCAAAAACTTAAAAAGCGAAAAATCATTTATAATCCTTTATAAATTTTGCCAAAGAGCATATTAGTATCTTAAGAGTACCTTGTTGTGTTTTTATTTCAATGCTCAATTTACATAAAAACCATATAATACCCTTTTGCATTTAGTCAACATGTTTATACATGGAATTTTTGCAAGGCTAATTTTTACAATTCTTCCACCACTAGTTTGAACTTTTAGCTTTATCTTATCTAATTTAAGACAATTCTTTAACCCTTGGCAAGAATTTACATTTTTATGCCTTCTGACATGGTTTGGCTGTGTGCCTACCAAAATCTCATCTTGAATTCCCATGTGGCATGGGAGGGACCCAGTGGGAGGTAATTGAGTCATGGGAGCAAGTCTTTCTCATGTTGTTCTCATGACAATGAGTAAATCTCATGAGATCTGACGGTTTTAAAAAAGGGCAGTTTCCCTGCCCTTTTTTTGTCTTTTGCTTTGTCTTTGTCTTTTGCTTTTGCTTTGTCTTTGTCTTTTGCTTTTGCTTTGTCTGCTGCCACCCGTGTAAGACATGACTTGCTCCTTTTTGCCTTCCACCATGATTGTGAGGCTTCCCCAGCCAGGTGGATCTGTAAGTCTAATAAACTTCTTGCTTTGGTAAATTGCCCAGTCTCAGGTATGTCTTAATCGGTAGCTTGAAAATGAACTAATGCACTTCTTATAACCTTTTGCTAAGAAAACATTTTACTGTTCTTACACACCTTGCATGTAAATCTATTTCTAGTATCTCAGTTATCTGTCATAAGGGTAACCTTTAGCAATTTTTAACTTTAATGTAAAACCTGGTAAGTTGTTTTGATTATGTGTTAGGTGCAGCCAAGGTCTGACTCCTTCCAGCATTGGTAAGGGTGTGGTTAGTTCCATATGTTCCCCAGGTCTTACTAAGTTGAACCGTTCTCAAAAAGCAAAAAGCAATTTATAACCTCAAAACATTTAGCAAACCTTGCACCTGACCTGCATAATTTAGTTCACCTATTTACATTTTGATAACATCTGCATTTTACCAATAACCTTTAAGGCTGTTTTTTATTTCCCAAGGATTAAAGTCATGTGAACTGAAAGGTACCATAGCTTTTATCTTCCCTTTTAAAAAGTACCTGATCCAAGTGCTTATCTTCCTTTAGGCCAATTAATCAGCACTCTTTTATAGACATCACATACAACATATACATAATGACACAGACAAGCAGAAGAAAGCCCAGTCACTGGGTGGAGCCCTTTAAGGAACAGGGCTAGGAAAACATGCAGATATCAAACCAGAGAGGACTCATTTCCTAAGCCAGGATTGAATCCAGGCCCTGTGGAAGCTAAACAAAGCCTTGCCACAGGGTTACAGGCCATGCCCCTAGGACATAAAACAAGATGGAGGCCTGAAGCAGAGTTTTCTGGGGACCATACAAAAAGACATGCAAAGCACACCAGAGTGGCTACAGCTTAAGACTAGCCTCACAAATCCTTTTTCACAAAACTCTACGGAGAATATAAACAGTGATCCTTATCATTCCTAGCCCAGTAAAACATCTTCTGGAAAAAAAAAAAAAAGATCATTTAAAAGTCAACTTCTGACCCAATAAAAGAAAGGAAGGAAAAAAAAATCTATTAAAAAAAAAAAACACACACAGTTTAAAAATGCTGCCTGGGGAAGAACCTCTTATTCTTACCCAAATGATTTCTCTAACCTGGAGAGAAGCTTAATTGCTGTGGGACAAAGTTGGATTCCCTGGCAGGGGTGGTGGGGTACAAGGAGGGGAATGTGCATAAGTGCATGGCAGGGAATGCCACCCAGCCTGCTGTTGGGCACCCTTGAGCCATGCATTCTAGCCCTGGCCAGGAGGGGAGCAAGGAGCTGCCATTTCCCAGTCTGTCCCACGCGCAGCTACAGCCCTTGGGGCACAGTTTTTTCTACCTTCAGATGTCTGAGGAGGAAAAGGCTTAGAAGCAAAAGTAAAAAGGTTTTCTCTCTTTTTTTTTTTTTTTGCAGCTCACTTACCTTCTCTCATGCCCCATGTCTGGACTCCAAAAAATGTTGTAGGACTTTCTCCTTAGTTCAGCAGCTAAAGATGAGATTCTTGTCACACTACCATGAAAGATTAGGCTTGTAGACACTTTGAAGGATGAGAAGGGCAGGTTTTATTTGATGAAAAGGAGAAAAAAAAAGGAAACAGGGACACTCATCAAAGCAAGAGTCCTGCTAGCTGGCTTCCCATCTATTAGATTAAATCCCTGGTTACCACTCAGGAACAAGAAGGTCCAGGCTCCTTTCCCCAGCTAATGATGCAAACTTCCACGGCTCCACCCTGCTCTCCCAGTGCGCAGGCCAATTGGAGGTTCTCTGGGGACCCCTTTATAGTTAGCTGTCTCAATTACACACCGATTAGAATGGTAAAATTCTAGAATCCTGACAGCATTGAATAGTGGCAAGAATGTGGGGCAACAGGAGCTCTCATTCATTGCAAGTAGCAAGGCTAAATGGCACAGCACAGCGACTGCCCCCACTCCCGCAAAATTTGTTGGTTTCTTACAAAAATAAGCACACTCTTATCATATAATTAAGCAACCACAGTCTTTGATATTTATCCAAGTGAGCTGAAAACTTAGGTTCATACAGACTCTTACACATGGATGTTTATAGTGGGTTCATTCGTAATCGCTAAACTTGGAAGCAACCAAAATGTCCTTCAGTAGTTAAACAGATAAATAAAATATGGTATGTCCAGACAATGGAAGGCTATTCACTGCTAAAGAAATGAGCTATCATCGTATTTTAAAAACTGATGAAACATAAATGCATATCACTAATCTAAATAAGTTTATCTCAAAGTTTATCTGGAATCACACAGTATGTATGATTCCAACTGTATAGCATTCTGGAAAAACCAGTGCTATGGAGACATTAAAAAGATCAGTGATAGCAAGGGTTTAGTGCAAAGGAAGAGATAAATAGGCAGAGTACAGAAGATTTTTATGGCTTTGAAACTACTCTGGATGATACTAATGGTGAATGTACATCATTACATGTTTGTTGAAACCCATAGGATGTACACCAAGAATTAACCCTTAATAAGCTATGGAGTTTGGATGATAATGATGAATTAATGTAGGTTCATCAGTTGTAACAAATGTACCACTCTGATGGGGTATGTTAATAACGGGGAAGGCTGTGCATGTGTGGGGGTACGGTATAATGGGAAATCTCTGTACCATTCACTCAATTTGCTGTGAACCTAAAACTGTTCTAAAAATGAAGAAAAAATAAATTATGTTTTCTCCCAATTGCTGAGAATGTTTTTGCATGTCATAGGTCTTCAATTAATGTTTGATAGTAAATAAAACAAAATTGAATAAGGCATTCTTGTTTTTCTATATGTGGAATATTGGTGTTTTCATAGAAGACAAAGAGAAGCAAAATTTATTTGCCTGTAACTCTTGTGTTTGGGGAAAATCAGGCCAATATAGATAATAGATGGTGATTTTTATAACTCCACATGAATCGCTGGTGGAAAAATGTAAGGGATATGGCCTAACAGAACCACTGGGTAGAAATGTGCAGTGCTTCTCTGACTACGCACCTCTCTTAAAAATAATAAAAATGAAAACTAATGAAAAGAAAAGGACGTTTGTGTAAATAGGACATCATTTTTGCTTTCCTCTCTTGAAACATGTTAATATGACTAAGAGAAACCTTAGTTCTTTATAATTCCAGGGTGGCTCATCCTGAAAGAAATAACACTGAAGGAAATCAAGATAGGAGGAAAAGCAGTATATAATTTAACTTGATTTATTTTTCTATCCTTTTCATTTATTAAAGAACAAATACACATTCAACTTGCAAATACTCATATTATACTCTTAATAAAAATCGAATTTTTCCTGTAGGAGAATAATTGAATGAGAGAAAATATGGAAATATCTGATGTGCCAGATATCCATCCCATTTATTCCTGCAAGTCAAAAGACTGTTGTTGTTTTTTTTTTGCCAGAAATACTATGTTGAGACCAAGTACATTATTAATGATTAGTTAAAAATAATTGTACAGCAATGGTTTCCCTGCTAAATACCATTCTCTGCTTTGCTATATGAATTACCTCAAATATTTTCCACTTGCTAAAACATAGAACTCTTTTCTTACAAAGTTTGGAAGTAAATTTTAAAGACAGTGAATGGAATTGCGCACACGTGCACGCGCGCGCGCACACACACACACACACACATACACACACACTCAGAGTGGAAAGTCCTGAATAAAAATGTTAGTCATTGTGATGAAACCTGACTTTCATGTTCAACTGTATATAGAAGCAATGGATGATATGACCCTAGGTGATTGCTAAAGCGGGAGGTCATTGGTCATTTCAGGTGAGCAAAATCATTGATTTGATATACTATTTCTTACCTAATGAATGTCTAATTCCCAATTCTCTGATAGCTCCACATCTCTCATTTCTTTCAGAATATGAAGCAAGAGATGATAATGTGTCAATTTCTAATGCAACAAGCAGATATTGCAGCTCAGCCTCTTTTACGTAAGAATCACAATATTGCATTGGTTCTAACTTCTCCATGAGGTTACTGATTTTATGTTACTAGCCAGACAGGTGAGCTCAGTGCTCTAAGAGAGGTTTTTGTTTTTTTGTTTTATTGTTTTTCCTGTACAGCTAAAATTAAAACTAGTATCCAAGTACAACTACTGTTCTACCAAATGGTTTATATACATACCTAGTTTTAACGTGAGGATAAAAATCTTATGCTGAGCATTATTGGCTAATAAATATCAGGATTTGGTTCCAAATAAACTCAACTTCACATGCCCATAACTCTTTGGTATTCACTTTTTTTTTCAATTTTACTTTAAGTTCCAGGATACATATGCAGAGTGTGCAGGTTTGTTACATAGGTATACATGTGCCATGGTGGTTTGCTACACCTAAAAACCCATCGTCTAGGTTTTCAGCCTTACATGGATTAGGTATTTGTCCTAATTCTCTCCCGCCCATTGCCTTCCACCCCCTGAAAAGCCCTGGTGTGTATTGTTCCCCTCCCTGTGTTCGTGCGTTCTCATAGTTCTACTCCCGCTTATGATTGAGAACATGCAGTGTTTGGTTTTCTGTTCCTGTGTTAGTTTGCTGAGGATGATGGCTTCCAGCTTCATCGATGTCCCTGCAAAGGACATGATCTCATTCTTTTTTATGACTGCATAGTATTCCATGGTGTATATGTACCACATTTTCTTGAACCAGTCTATCATTGACGAGCATTTGGGTTGATTCCATGACTTTGCTAATAGTGCTGCAATAAACAAAATTGTGCATGTCTTTATAGTGGAATGATTTATATTCCTTTGGGTATATACCCAGTAATGAGATTGCTGGGTCAAATGGTATTTCTGGTTCTAGATCCTTGAGGAATCACCACACCATCTTCCACAATAGTTGAACTAATTTACAATCCCATCAAAAGCATAAAAGCTTTCCTATTTCTCCACAGCATCACCAGCATCTATTGTTCCCATACTTTTTAATAATCACCATTCTTACTGGTGTGAGATCGTATCTCATTGTGGCTTTTATCTGCCTTTCTCTAATGATCAGTTATGATGAGCTTTTTTTTTCAATATGTTTGTTGGCCACGTGAATGTTTTCTTTTGAGAAGTGTCTGTTCATATCCTTTGCCCACTTTTTGATGAGGTTGTTTTTTTTTCTTGTAAATTTGTTTAAGTTCCTTGTAAATTCTGGATATTAGACCTTTGTCAGATGAATAGATTGAAAAAATTTCCTCCTATTCTGTAGGTTGCCTGTTCACTCTAATGTCAGTTTCATTTGCTGTACAGGAGCTCTTTCATTTAATTAGATGCCAATGGGTCAATTTTGGCTTTTGTTGCAATTGCTTTTGGTGTTTTAGTTATGAAGTCTTTGCCCATGCCTATAACCTGAATGGTATTGCCTAGGTTTTCTTCTAGGGTTTTTATGGTTTTGGGTTTTACATTTAAGTCTTTAATTCATCTTGAGTTAATTTTTATATAAGGTGTAAGGAAGGGGTCCAGTTTCAGTTTTCTGCATATGGCGACCCAGTTTTCCCAGTGCCACTTATCAAATAGGGAATCCTTTCCCCATTGCTTGTTTTTGTCAGGTTTGTAGAGAAGATCATATTGTTGTAGATGTGGTGGTGTTATTTCTGAGGTCTGTGTTTGTTCCATTGGTCTATATGTCTGTTTTGGTAGCAGTACCATGCTGTTTTGATTACTGTAGCCTTGTACTATAGTTTGATGTCAGGTAGTGTGACTCCTCTAGCTTTGTTCTTTTTGCTTTGGATTGTCTTGGCTATATGGGCTCATTTTTGGTTTGATATGAAATTTAAAGTAGTGATCTTCTAATTCTGTGAAGAAAGTCAGTGGTAGTTCAATGGGAATAGCATTGAATCTATGTATTGCATTTGGCAGTATGGCCATTTTCATGATACTGATTCTCCCTATCCATGAGCAGGGAATGTTTTTCCATTTGTTTGTGTCCTCCCTTATTTCCTTAATCAGTAGCTTGTAGTTCTCCTTGAAGAGGTCCTTCACATCCCTTGTATGCTTTGTTCCTAGATATTTTATTCTCTTTGTAGCAGTTGTGAAAGGAAGTTCACTCATGATATGGCTCTCTGCTTGTCTATTGTTGGTGTATAGAAATTCTTGTGACTTTTGCATGTTGATTTTGTATCCTGAGACTTTACTGAAGTTGCTTATAAGCTTAAGGAGTTTTTGGGCTCAGATGCTATGGTTTTCTAAACACAGAATCACATCAAATGCAAACAGAGACAATTTGATCTCATCTATTCCTATTTGAATACCATTTATTTCTTTCTCTTGCCTGATTGTCCTGGCCAGAAATTCCCAAACATTGTTGAATGGGAGTGGTGAGAGAGAGGATCTTTATCTTGTGCCGGTTTTCAAAGGGAATGCTTCCAGCTTTTGCCCAATCAGTATGATGTTGACTATGGGTTTGTCATAAATAGCTTTTATTTTATTGAGATATGTTCCATCAATACCTTGTTTATTGAGAGTTTTTAACAAGAAGGGATGTTGAATTTAATCAAAGGCTTTTTATGTGTCTATTAAGATAATTATGCAGTTTTTGTCATTGGTTTTGTTTAAGTGATGGATTACCTTTATTGATTTGCTTATGTAGAACCAACCTTGCATCCCAGAGATGAAGCCTACTTGTTCATGGTGGATAAACTTTTTGATGTGCTGCTGGATTCAATTTACTAGTATTTTTTGAGGATTTTCACATTGATATTCATCAGGGATATTGGTCTAAAGTTTTCTCTTTTTGTTGTGTCTCTGCCAGGTTTTGGTATCAAGAAGATGCTGGCCTCATAAAATGAGTTAGGGAAAAGTCTCTATCAATTTTTTGGAATAGTTTCAGAAGGAATGGTACCAGCTCCTCTTTGTACCTCTAGAATTTGGCTGTGAATCTGTCTGGTCCTGGGAATTTTTTTGTTGGTAGGCCAATAATTACTGTCTCAATTTCAGAACTTGCTATTGGTCTATTCAGGGATTTGACTTCTTCCTGGTTTAGTCTTTGGATGGTATATGTGTCCAGGAATTTATCCATTTCTTCAGGTTTTCTAGTTTATTTACATAGAGGTGTTTATGGTATTCTCTGATGGTATTTTGTATTTCTGTGGGATCAGTGGTGATATACCCTTTATTATTTTTTAGTGTGTCTTTTTTATTTTTCTGTCTTTCTTTATTGCGTCTTTTTGACTTTTTGGTCTTTCTTTATTGTGTCTTTTTGATTTTTCTGTCTTTCTTCTTTATTAGTCTAGCTAGTGATCTATCTATTTTTTACATTTTTTCAAAGAACCAGCCCCTGGATTCATTGATTTTTTTAAGGATTTTTCATGTCTCTATCTCCTTCAGTTTTGCTCTGATCTTAGTTATTTCTTGTCTTCTGCTAGCTTTTGCATGTGTTTGCTCTTGCTTCTCTAGTTCTTTTAATTGTTATGTTAGGGTGTTGATTTGAGATCTTTCCAGCTTTCTGATGTGGCCAATTAGTGCTATAAATTTCCCTCTAACACTACTTCAGCTGTGTCCCAGAGATTCTGGTACATTGTCTCTTTGTTCTTATTGGTTTCAAAGAACTTCTTGATTTCTGTCTTAATGCTATTATTACCCAGGAGTCTTTACACATGAGATAGGTCTCCTCGATTCAGCACATCGATAGGTCTTGACTCTGTCCAATTTTCCAGGCTGTGTCTTTTAACTGGGGCATTTAGCCCATTTACATTAAGGTTAATATTGTTATGTGTGAATTTGATTTTGTCATCATGATGCTAGCTGGTTATTTTGCACATTAGTTGATGCAGTTTCTTCATAGCGTCATTGGTCTTTATATTTTGGTGTGTTTTTGCAGTGGCTGGTACTGGTTTTTCCTTTCCATATTTAATGCTTCCTTTAGGAGCTATTGTAAGGCACGCCTGGTGGTGACAAGATCCCTCAGCATTTGCCTGTCTGGAAAGGATTTTATATCTCCTTCATTTATGAAGCATTGTTTGGCTGGATATAAAATTCGGTTTGAAAATTACTTTACTTAAGAATGTTGAATATTGGTCTCCATTCTCTTCTGACTTGTAGGATTTCTGCTGGGAGATCCACTGGCATAGGTTACTATGCATCAAAGAAAGTAAAACCTTATTGAAAGTGAAGCTGACAGGTTGCTCTTTAATTGACTAACTAATGAGGCATATTTTCTTGGTGAGAGAGAAAATTTAGAAAGAATCTTTTAAATATTTAAATCACTGACAAGCCAACAACAAATGTTGTGTTACGTTAGTGTAACTAATTTAATTTGTTTTTTGCAATTAAAGAGAATTTCATCTACTGCACAAAAAGTTTTAGATCACCAGCTTTACTTTTTTTTTGTAGTCCAGTAGCCCTTATTTAGCACTTTTTGTCTATCCATGCACTTTTAAGTTAATTCATTAATAGAAAGTGGACACAATATATGTAACAAATGAATTGGAGGCAAAGAAGCAGCTGATTGTATAACACACATTATGTAACTTGTTAATAAGTGAAGGGAAGTTAATTGCATGTGATGGAATTAGACTAGCAATAGTATGATTTCAGAGGTATTGGTGAAGGTATGACATTAATTCTGGGAGGTGGAGATTCATGTAGGTATCATCTGGTTTCTAGCACTGATGCAGAACTATGCTGTCACACATTTTCTAGAATTCATTTCAACATTTATTTCTCCATTTAAAAGAGTGAATTTTACTATTGTGCTGGCTTATTTAACTTGAAATTCAGTTGAAAGAAGTAAGACTCCTTCGATATTGAATGGTTTTCTTTCCTCTCAAAATTGATTTTCAGAAATGGGAAACGGAAAAATAGCCAACAACAACTCATAACTAAAAAAACTATAATGAAATAATTTTGAAGTTTGTATGACACGGCAGCCCAACGTTTTTCATTGTCTTCTTGCTTCATGGGCAACTAGTCACAGGCCCATTAGCATATAAAAACAATATTGATATGCATTGCTACATAGTTTTCTCTACAGTTAAGTGTCATATGCATAAATTCACTCATGTATACTGACATCATTTGAATATTAATGTTAAATGTAGATGCTCATTTTCAATTGTAATGTGGGTTAATATTTTGTAAATCTATTTTCTCAGATATTAATGAATTTTATACAAAACTTAGTGTTCTTTGGCAAATGTGTGAACTTAGTTGTAAATGCTGCAATCTGCTCAAATATCTTATTTGAAAAAGTTTGCATGTGCTTTTTTTTTCCTTTTTTTGTTTTTACAGAAAAATAGCTTACCTGCTGTCTATTTTGGGTTTGATTTTAAAGTAGTTTCCTCTCCTGAAAATGATATTTTAGTCATAGATAATAATGTGAATGAGCTACAAGTTCACTTCTAATTCACCAGTCTTAGCTTCTCTTTGTAACTGTCCTTTTGCAAATGAGAAATTGAAATATTGGTAGTGATAATAGAAATGACAATGACAGCTAAACAATTCTGAATGTTCACTCTTGGTCATCTGTGTCACTATGCTATTTACATATATTAAATAATATTTAAAATGACTAGATAAAGGAGGCGTTATTATTTGACAAATTTTACAGATGAAATGGAGGTTTGAAAAGTCAGGCTTCATAGATTTAGAATTGAGACAGTTCAGATGCTTAATCTACCATTCAACCTCTGGACACAAGTTTTATGTTGCAAAATGGAAATCATAATGACTGTGTCATAAAGTCATTGCAATGATAAAATATATTTTGTGACTGGTGAAGGATAAACATTTAATAAAGGGTTATTTTTATTATAGAGTATAAACCTTCTATCCATGATTTTGAACTTATTTTCTTCCATCTTCAGAACCTGGCTCTATTATTTCTGTCTCCTTTCATTTAAATCAGCAAATTTGGTCTATCCACTGGAATTTCTATTTTACAAATTTATTTTCATCTACTTTATAGTAAAACAAAAAAATATGTATTCTCAAAGCAACCCTGAATATTGCTCCACACCTCAAGTTATTCCACTTTTTCTTAACTACTAAATTATTAGGGTATCTTACCAAAGTAATTTACAATAACAGATAACACTTTCTCACTACCCATTCACTGAAGAAGTGCATTGCAGTTATCAAAATAATACATGTGTTAAACTTAAATGATACTAAGAGCATAAGATCAATACTAATATTGATTAAAACAAAAATCTTCAGCCAGCCCACTCCAAGCTCCAGCCAGTGGAGGTCTGTGCCACACAGGTAAACTCATTTAAATTACTTACTGATTTATTCTTGTATTTACTGCCATTTTGCCAAATAATATAATGCTATTATTGATTATGTCTCATAAATAATTATCTATTTATTTCATACTGTTTTATGAGTATACTGTTGTCTAATTCTACCCCATGCACAGTCATTTTTACCTTCCTTCATTTTCTCAATATATTAAAAGACACTGAAAAAGCCTTTTCATCCCAGTTAAAAAACAGAAACAAAAACAAATAATCTATCTGCTTTATCTCCTTTTGAAGCTGCTTCCATCTGTCCTGGGTGAACTCTAACCAGCTGCACATCCCAAGACGGAGGCATTTCCTCACCAACATCCATCTTCTAGTCTTCATCTTCTGGTGTTGGGTTCCTAGTTTTCTGTATTTTATGTCTTTGTAATTTAAACTTACTTTCCCTTTTGTAGGATGCTTAGCTTGCAGTAGTTTCTTGAGAAAGCCTACATGGAAAGTAAGGTTTTTGTAAAGCCCTGCAAAGAGAAAAATAATTGTTGTCTCAATCGTGGTCGTCTCTTCGTTATGGAGTTCTAAATTGATAATTGATTGTTATCAGCATTCTGAAGGCATAAACTAATGATGTTATGTCTCAGTATTAATCTTAAGTAGTCTGGAAATATTCCATTCCATTGCATGAAATCTGGTTTTTGTTTTTTCTCTTTGCTGCTTTTACAATTATTTTCTTTATTCCCATTGTTTCTAAAATTTTAGAATTATAGTCTTTGAATGAATCACCTTTTTATTTGTGATAATAGACACTTGGTGGAATCTTTTAATTTGGGCACAAATATTAATGATTTGGGATTTTAAAAAATAATATTCTCCTATTTATTTTATCTGCTCACACTTTCACACTTTCTTTTCTTTTTTCCCTTTTTTTTTTGAGACAGAGTCTTGCTCTGTCACCCAGGTTAGAGTACAGTGGCACAATCTCAGCTCACTGCAGCCTCCGCCTCCCAGGTTCAAGTGATTCTACTGCTTTAGCCTCCCAAGAAGCTAGAATTACAAGCGTGTGCCACCATATCCTGCTATTTTTTTTTTTTTTTTTTTTTTTTTAGAAGAGAAGGGTTTTCACCATGTTGGCCAGACTGATCTCGAACTCCTGACCTCAAGTGATCCACCTGCCTCAGTCTCCCAAAGTGCTGGGATTACAGGCATGAGCCACCGCGCCTGGATATGCTCACACTTCCTAAAATACATATAGTTGGAAATTGGATTTCCTACTATAATAGTTTATTTTTCTTTTCTATTTTCTATTTCTTCCTTTCCCCTTTTTACTTCCTAGGAGATATCTCAACATCATTATGTTGTAGGCTTTCATAAAATGTCTATTAATCCTTGGCTGTTGATTCACAATTTAGAGTGAAACATTAAAAGCTTAGTGGGACTCTATGTTTATTTATGTGTATAGATGGATGAAAGGGCTTGTTGAACGATGGACTTCTTTCATAATGAAGTTCTATTGTGGAACACCAAATTGTTTATTAGTGTAGTTTTTGTTTCGGTTATTTTTTATTTTTTGTTTTTTCACTTTGTTGGTTTGTTTTTAATCTTTTTAAGCCAGCCAGTTTCTACAGAGATGAATTTTCAAATCTCTGGCCTTGTTCTATATATCTGTATGCATTATTACTGATTTTTGAAGAAAAAGAGTCAGAGCTGTAATATATAATGTGTAGTTTTATGTCCTTTCTGATGGTCACGACAGTTTTTGCCCTCACTCTCGCCCTCAGCACTCAACACTGCTATCTCCAGTGTTCTTGAAACTAGGATTACTTTAACTCAATTTTTGCTGAGAACAACATTCCTCAATCACCTTTCCAAGAAGGGATATTCATATATCTATATGGTTTGGAAAGGGTATTTGGATAATAACTCCTCCTTCAGTAAAATGTTAACAACTAAATCTTAATCCCATCTTCTTGAGGTACTTGGCATTTCTATTCCAGGAAACATCCAGTGGGTTTCTGTTGCACAGACATCTTGCTTCTTCATGTCATCCTCCTATGCAGGCACTTAACTCTCAGCTTTCTCTATGCTATAGGTAATTACCCCTCATCTTTCTTTCTGTCTCTGGAAAACTTGTTACACTTCTCACCCACTGTCATCTCCTCTTTAGTATTCTATGTAGTTTTAGGTTTATACATTTATATTTTATCACTGTCATTTCAAATTATGAGAAGAATCAGAGAAAAGTACATATTCCAATTTTCATGCTTAATGATTCCCCTCAATTCTTGACCATTGTCTTCATGAAATCTCCCTTTGCTGTCTCACACAAGGCCTACTGATGACCAAGTCTAATGATCTCATTTAAGCTTGTTTCTCCTCAAATTAATTATATTTGCCAAATTTTCATTTATTTCCTGAAAGTCTTCCCCCCCACCCCTTGGTTTTCATGGTGGTATTCTCTATGTTTTTCTCAAAAATCTGCTTCTCTCCAATTACATCTTAAATTTGTTGACAGGACAGGAATAGAAAGACTTTAGCCTATTTGTAATCCCAATGTATCTATGCTGTATTATTAAATCTCCATGAGGGTTTGGCATTGCTACTCTTTAAAACCAGCCCAATCCTCCAAGGAGAGATAATTATTGATCTATATGCACTGTTCCTTGGGTTCTAGTTGGTAAAATTTAGAGATAAACTTTATAGTAATCCTTCTATAGTTATCTCATTTCTATGATTCCAAAATAACTCTACCTCATTTGTAATGTTTCTGACAGTGAGACAATTTTCCAATTCAGTAACATTCATACTTCTGGATTAGAAAAGAATAAATCAACCCATTTTCTTTAATGAGAGCAAAACTTTGAAACTGTCCTGAAGTAGAAAGAAGAAATTCCAGGCCATTACAATATCACAAGAATAACATAATAACTATAAAATGTGAATTAGGAAATAACAAAAAATTTGAATACCTAGACAACTCTGTCTACTGCTTCAGAAAAAAAAATGTTTGGTGATATTTGCCTCAAAATTTTCATTCTCTCAATTATTGTCATTGTTAGTTAATTTAAATATCTGTGGAGAGTGGACGTAAAACAAGCTAAATTAACCTAAGAAACATAAGCCAACTTTTGAATCAAAATTGCTTTGCTTTGCAATGTCTGTAAAATTGTGTATTTGTCTGACAATTTTTGGTAAATACATGTTTAAAACATAAAAAACCTTTTATAAATATGTCCATTTCAATTAATTTATTCTTATATCATCTGAAATATGCAATATTTGACAGATGTTAAATTACAGATACAACATGCATTTAAGACATTTAAGACTTCTACTTATATATTTTAAATAACTACATCATACCTAACCTGAACAGTACATAGAATAATGTGTTTCACAGAAAATGTATGATGGTGTTATAAGTTCATAATACTAACTGGTAATTGCTTTTTTGCTGTAAAAGTAAATAAAAATGTATGACTAAGCTATGGTTATTTAAATAATAATGCAGTGTTTTTTATCGTGTGACTGTTTTTAGAATTTGTTGTAAATGTAAACATACGTCAGATTTTTAAAGGTAGTTTCAGAACTACGCTCATTATGTGGATGCATTTGATATAAGCTGTAACATACAGCTTGATTATTAGAGAGAATGATTTGGCATTTTGTTTTCAGAACGGATTTATTTGACCAGAGAAATAGTGTCTGTGTTGGATTGTCTTCTTTTGCTGGTGGGGTTGTATTACCTGCAAAGAGATAAGAAAAATGCAGAAATATCTCTTTCTGTCCATTTAAGTCACATCAAGTACAAGAACATTTTGTAACTATAGAGGTACATTTTTTTACCATGTGAACAAATAAAATAAGTGTTTTAGACAAATTTATATTTATGTAAGCTCCTTGGAAATATTACTATCGCAGCCTTCATAGAAGGCCTGCAATTTGTTATATTTCTAATACATGACTCATGGTTTAGTTTATGGTTTGATACTTGTTATGGATAAAATGCATTTTTTGAAACAGAAAAGCTTTTTTATATGGAGTGTGTTTAGATGTCATGGTAGATAGATGGATGTCAAAGCCTGTTCACATACCTACTATCCATGAAGGAGAAAAGAAAAGAAGAAATCCCTTGCTGGCCATTACTTTTCATTTCTTTTTTTTCAGCTATTTTTCTACATCTTCTTTTCTTTTCAGTCTCTATTTCAGCTCCTTATCTTCTTACTCTGGAGTCCAACTGTCCATCCCTGTCCCTGAAATGTCATCTCTGAAGCCTCTTTTAATTGGCCCCCGGGCCCCAAGATATCAGAGCTGCCACCTCTTCATCTCATGATTCCTCTCTCAGCTTTCAGAAATAGTAGCATGTCCTTTATGCCCTATTCCTGATGATTTTCCACATTCTGTGGTCTGATAGGTGACTCCACAACTTCTGCAGACCTGTTCTCACCAAGGTCACCAGTGACTTCTAGCTGAGATATGCAGGGACTCTGTCTCTCTCTCCCCCTCCCTCGTTCCCTCCCTCTCTCTTTCTGTCTGTAACATTTGGTGACATTAATTATTTTCTTTGGAAACTCTATGATATCATACTAGTCTATTATTCTTTCCTACTTCTGTACCTAAATCATCAAATGCCACTTTTCAGTCAACTTTCCTGCTGGGATACACTCTTTATGGATTGGCATTCACTAAGTTACTGTTTTAGTCCCTCTTTTTTCTTTTTGTATTCATTTCTTTCATTCTCCTTCATTCTCCTAGTTGTTCACAAATATTTCTTAAATTGCTACATTATTCTACGTACTTAGTTATGGTAGATAAAAATATGGCATTGCCTTCAAGGGGTCATAGTCTAATGAAGAAGGCAAACAATACAAAGATACAATATTGTGTGATAAGTGTTAGCATTATGCATGTATATCCAGGAGGATTTATTTAAATTGTATTCCAGTTAACTCAATAAGAGTGACATCTGGGCCTAAGTTCAAAGAGTAGAGAAATAAATTACCAAATGAAACAGAATTAGAGTGACTGGATACAAGAGGAAAGCATTATACAAAGGTTGGTTGTACATGTGTAAATAACAGGATACTTTTTGTAACTACAAGTGGATTAATATTATTATACCATTGACCACATGTAAGAGTGATGTGAGAGATAAAAATTTAAGAGATAAGAAAAGATTAGAATATAAAAGTCCATTTATGCCATCACAAATAGTTTGGATTTTATCCCAGCGATGATTAATAACAACCTAACATTGTCAGGGTCAGCACTGATATTAGCTGATATTAAGTTATTGTTCTGGAGGGTATATTCTTTTTTTTTTTTTTGAGATGAAGTCTCACTCCGTTGCCCAGGCTGGAGTGCATTGGTACAATCTTGGCTCACTGCAATCTCCTCCTCCCAAGCTGGAGCGTATTGGAATGCAGTGAGACTAGATTTAGAAAGGCCAGCTTGAACTATTTCCATAGCCCAACCTGAAAAACGGCAGTGCGAGCAAACATAGAGTGGGGGCAATGGATTAAGGAAGACAGAATTTTCCAGGATTAACTGACCAGATTGTTCAGTGAGGAAATGTTCTAAAATAATTTCCAGATGTCTTGTTTTGCAGGTAGTAAGAAAATGCTGCATTCATTGGCAAATTAAAAACAGAACACAACGACTATGGCAGGTGTGTATGTGTGTGTGTGTGTACATTTGTGTGTGTTTCTCCTATTATTTTCCTTTTGTTCTCCACATATGGTCAAAGGTATTATGTATAGAGTGAATAAACTCCTTGTCTCTCACGAGTGATGAATCGGGAGTACCAAGTGTATTTATTTTGCATGTATCTTTAAATACTTCATGCCAAGGACTATCAGTATTCTCCACACTATTAGAAATAGAGTCCTTAGCATTTTTGAGGTCTGATTATATTAAGCAGCCAACTCCAGAAACCCCCAAACCAACAAAAGAATGCCATACTTAATATTCTGTTTCTCTAGAACCACTCTGGTTCCAACATCTGTATTAATCAGGGTTCTCTAGAGGGACAGAACTAATGGAATACATATATATATGAGTTTATTAATCAAGCATTAACTCACATGATCACAAGGTCTCCCAACAGGCTGTCTGCAGGCTGAGCAGCAAAGAGAGCCAGTCCGAGTTCCAAAACTGAAGAACTTGGAGTCCGATTTTTGAGGGCAGGAAGCATCCAGCACGGGAGAAAGATGTAGACTGGGAGACTAGGCCAGTCTCTCTTTACACATTTCTCTGCCTGCTGAGCACTAAAAGTGACTAATTTGTCACTTTGATCTTACATGAAAATTCTCCTACACTAAAAATTTCTATTTATTTGCCTTCTAGAAAATTACATTAAAAGTTATTCAAAAATAAGTCAAGAGGATTAACAGTAATTTTTAAGATACTTTGATTACAGAGTTGCCTTTAGAACTGATTCTCAATTTTTATGACTCTAAACTGAATTTCACTAAAATAATTTTAGTTATTATTTTTGCTCGTTGTTTGGGTAAAATTGTGACTGTCTATGATTTTGCATAAAATTAGTCTTAGTTATTAGCATTTGAATTTTAATTTCATTAAACTCAAGATAAATATACAAGAAAATATTCATTTTCTTATATCTTCACCAAATGGGATTCTACCTCTGTTTATAAAGTGCAGTTCATTCTGAATGCCATTCGTAATTTTATTTTATAATGGCAGAACTAGTTTTTTCTTTTTATAACCTTTAAAACAGATGTGTTATGGTAACAAAGTAACCATTTCTGCATTAGTCAAGACTATTATCACAGCAGATAACAGAAACCCA